>NC_000005.10:117079503-117382534 GCF_000001405.40 Homo sapiens | reverse complement strand
TGTTTTTTTGTTGTTGTTTATTTGTTTTGAGACAGGGTCTCACTATGTCACCCAGGCTGGAGTGCATTGGCGTGATCTTGGCTCACTGCAACCTCCACCTCCCAAGTTTAAGCAATTCTCCCGTCTCAGCCTCCCGACTAGCTGGGACTACAGGCACATGTCACTATGTCCAGCTAATTTTTGTATTTTCTGGTAGAAACTGAGTTTCATCATGTTGGCCAGGCTGGTCTCAAACTTCTGACCTGAAGTGATCCACCCATCTCGGCCTCCCAAAGTGCTGAGATTACAGGTGTGAGCCACTGCACCCAGCCAGTGCCTTGTTTTATTTCACAGGTGTGCTATATTGTGTTTTGATTCCTTCTTAAACTAATCTTTTTCTTACACTTTCTCCCAAATATATCTCTGAACATCAATGAATACAAAGTGTTATCTGACAAACCATTATCTGGAGAAAGTTGTAGCCAAATACAATGTGGTTAGAAGCATGAAATGACAAACTAGGAAATATCAAATTAAAATTTCATCCAAATTTCATGTGCTGCTCTGATGTTTTCATTCTTTCACGGATAAAATAGCTAAATATTTCTTTCCTAATTTTTCACATAATATCACCTGTGGCTGAGATCACCCAGACTGTAATTGGTTTCTCAAGAAGAACAATTTTCATTAGACAACATAGAGAGGCAGGAGAGGGAGGGAAGGAGAAGAAAGAAAAAGAGAGAGGCAGGGAGTTATATTAATCCATTTTCACACTGATGATAAAGACATACTCGAGATTGGCAGTTTGCAAAAGAAAGAGGTTTTATTGGACTTACAGTTCCACGTGGCTGGGGAAGCCTTACATTCATGGTAGAAGGCAAGGAGGAGCAAGTCACATTTCACGTGGGTGGCAGCAGACAAAGAGAGAGAACTTGTGCAGGGGAACTCCTCCTTTTGAAACCATCAGATCTTGTGAGATTTATTCACTATCATGAGAAGAGCACAGAAAAGACTTGCCCCCATGATTCACTTACTTCCCACTGGGTCCCTCCCACAACACATGAGAATTCAAGATGAGATTTGGGAGGGGACACAGCCAAACCATATCAGGAGGGAACTGAGAAGGAAGGGAAGCAAGGAAGTTAGGGAGCAAAGTTGTAGAAAGCTATAATAGTAGGGAGGGATGTGCTAAGTTAATTGTAGAGCAGCAAATTTTATTTATTTTTAATGCCAGTATTGTCTCAAAGTGGAAGGTGGAACAAAAATTTACCCTTCCAGAATTGCAAATTTTGAAAGACTAAAAAGTTGGGAAGACTTGTTAGTCCTAGTGCATATTTTTTCATATACCTTTAAATACTTTTATGGTATGAGCACAACCCTGCTCCCCACATTACCATCACCACCATAGTGACTATCTCTGAGAAACTCCTGAAGAATTGAGGCACTTGGAAACAAAAATACAGTCCAGTGTTGGTGCTATTTGAGGATTACATTTTGCATGTACCTGTGAGCCTGAGGTCAAAATTAATTTAACATTTGGATGCAGAAGAACAGTAATTAGCTCAGCCTCTCCTTTTATTACCTGTGTATGTATGGGTGTGTGTGGTATGTATACATTTGTGTTTCAGAGAAAGAGAAGGAGAGAGAGAGACTGCCATTTCTGAGTGCTTGAAATATTGTAATTTTATACATTTGCCTGCCAGTAGAAAAAGCAATAAGAAGAAAATGTACAAATTTAGGGGAAAAAATGGAATGGCCTTATTCAGATAAAGGACATATGTGGAAATTTGGGTTGCCAGAAAAAGCTTTTTTCAAAATACAAAGATTTTTGTAGTCTTTGAATTTTTACAAAAAAAAAAAAAAAATCCCTTATTTCCCCTTGCATTTTACTGAGACCTAAGTATAACATTTATACAACTTAACCAGAATAATTTATCTTTCTATTTCTGTTATAGCTTAGCATCTTTAACAAAGTCTGTTTTTCCCCCTTGTGTCACCTCTGCACTGATGACTCTCATTTAAACAAGAACATACCTGATTAAGGAGCAGATGGCTTGTCCCTGGGTGGTTGGTTTATTTTTACATAACTATCATATTACAGAAAAGAAACTAAATTTGCTAATGAGATAACTGTACTTTAGTTAAATAAGTCTTTGATCTGGTCTTTTCCACTTCTTACAAAGGAAAATATCATATTGCATGTACAAAAACAAAATGCTGCCATCACCAAAAGCAGCTGGGGGTTATAGGAGAGCGTTCTGTGCTTAAACTCAGAAATCCTTACAGCCTATTAACCTTGAGTAGGTCCCCTAACTGCTCCTGCTCTCAGGTTCCTAATTAGTGACACACATGAATTGGCTAATACTAACCTCTTAGGGTTGCTATGGTAGGTGGGCTATACTGGGCTACTATTGCTGAAACCACCTTTGCAAAAATTGTAGCTGAGAAAATCATGACAGTGAAAGAGAGCCAACCTAACTGACTCCATCTTGCTTCTAACCTCCAAGTTGTCCTTGTTCCCTCCTGGGTGTAGGCTGAACTAACTTTGGGAAGAACTTAGTTTATAGTTTAACTGTGAAACAAAGATGATAACAGCCCTTTCCCAAAACAAATCCCCTTCCTGCCTGGGGACTAGACTGGCTTTGCAGGACTAACAAATTAGCCACGGGATTAGAAATTATGGTTTAGGAGTCATGCAGCTGGAGGATGCAAGATTCTGAATTTCCCCAAATTGCTCCTAGGATAATAATATAACTATTGTAAAATCTAAGATCAGTGCTTGAGATATTTTTGAGACCTTGTACTCAGTGGATCAGCTGGCACCACTCAGCTCAATAAACTGGCTCATCTGGTCTTGTGGCCTCCACCCAGGAACCGACTCAGCAGCTTCGACTCCCTATGATTTCATCTCCAACCCAACCAATCAGCACTCCCCACTTTTCAAAACTCTACCCACTAAATTATCCTTAAAACTCTGATTCCCAAGTTTTTTGGAAGACTTATTTGAGTAATAATAAAACTCCAGTATCCTGCACAGCCAGCTCTGCATGAATTAAACTCTTTCTCTATTACGATTCCCCTGTCTTCATAAAGTGGCTCTGTCTAGGCAGTGGGCAAGGTGAACCCACTGGGCAGCCACCTTGCCATGGAAATATTTAATAATATTATAGTAGTATAATATTATAAGTGTCTTGGTTTGAGAGAATGATTTTAGCTTGGTCCTAAGAAATTGATGCATGTTCTTGTCCAAAGGAAGTAAAAACTCCCTATCTTACTGACCTCAGTAAATGCAGGGAGAAAAACTGCTTTAAGTAACCCAATTTTAGGATCCATTAATTACTTCATTTGGAAATCTAGGGAGTGGTAATTTTGCAGAATTGTGTTTATCTCTAAATTTATTAATCAGCTTATCTTATGGAGAAAATAGTGTAGGAATAAATGGCTTCCAAATGAAAAGAAAACAAAAACACTCAAGATTTCAGGGATATAAGGTGAATAAATACATAAGCAAAGACAAAGAACTATTTATGATTTGTAATTTGTCTCACAAAACTAAAGGCATACTGTCCCACAGCAAAATAAAAAATGCAAAAGTAAGACAGATACTTTGAGCCTAAATAAACTGTATAAAACATAGATCCAGCCTTTATAAAATTTAAAAGTTCATTGTAGGATAGCAAGGTGACAAAAGCCAAGTACTTACTGCTTTATGAAAATACATTTAATAATGGAATGTCTAATAATTGAAATATAAGCTTACATAACAAAAAGGAAGTTTTATTACCAGAAAGCTAAGAAATATTTTTAATTCTCTAATTGTGTTACCTGAAGATATTGCTTCCTTTGGGTTCAAATTACTGGTAAGAGTTGAGAATTAGATTGGCATTTCAGAAAGGAGGCTGCTATCAGTGCAAGGGAAGAGGGCCAGATACCACCTCCTACCCCAATTATTGGCTTAAAGACCAGAGAACTTGAGCTAGGCATCTCCTCTGTATTCAATCTCAAACCCACCCTTCCTTTAATACTGAAATCGTATTAGCCCATCCTCATGCTACTAATAAAGACATACCTGAGACTGGGTAATTTATAAAGGAAAGAGGTTTAACTAATTCACAGCTCCACATGGCTGAGGAGGCCTCACAATCATGGTGGAAGAAGGAAGAGCAAAGGAACATGTTACATGGTGGCAGGCAAGAGAGCATGTGAAGGAGAACGCCTCTTTATCAAACCATCAAATCTCATGAGACTTATTCACTATCATGACAGCAGCATGGGAAAACCTGCCCCCATGATTCAATAACCTCCCACTAGGTCTCTTCCACAATACGTGGGGATTATTACAATTCAAGATGAGATTTGGGTGGGGACACACAGCCAAACCATATCAGAAATCATAAAACATCTGTGCTTGAATATGCGCAGTATCTAAGGCTAGGACTGAGGAAAGAGTCTTTTTGCCCTGTTACTACAGCAAGAGTATAGAAGGCCTTGTTCAGTTGTTGACCTGATATAATTGTCTCATCGGCCTACTTAAAGTATCACTCCATACTACCTTACAGCAGAGAACTATAAAGAGGAACAGGAAACAGACTCCTAGATAGAAGTCTCATGTAGTGAGCAAGCTTTAGACCTCTGTTCTTGGAAAGAATGTTGGAAAAGTGGTACCTGCAAGAGTCAGACCCAGAACAAGTCCTGAGTCTTCCCTCAGTTGAAGCACCCAGGTACTACTGCTACTAATAGCTCAGAATCATCATTAGACATTTGATTGTATGTGGCCAATGAAAAGTGGGTTCCAGTGCTGAACTTACAATTAGTAAAGAGTGTGTACTTTATGGAAGCCAAAAGAATAGTAATTGATCTCTAAGATTGAATATGTTCACTCATCACTGCCAGGACTATGTACATATTTAGGGTAAAGTGCTTAATAAGTAAGTTTAACATCAGATTAGTAATTTCGAGAGCCTCAATCACCCTTTAGGCACAATGACATTTTGGGGGAACAACTTTACAATAAATAGGAAAATTATCACATAGGTTAAGTCACTGTCCTATATACACAATATTTTTAACCAACACGAGGGCTAATATTTCATAATTTGTTTAAGTATTCAAATGTACTGGTAGAGCTTTATAAGTAAATAATTGGGAAATTTTAAAAAATTGCAATAGACAAATTGATGTTATTGATAAAATTAAATATTTGGGGATATCAAATAACTTAAAACGTGCATTTTATTGATTTAAAGCTTAAGTAGGAAGAGTAGCTATTGATTGTATTTTTCTTAAACACTAAAAGGTTTCTAAGGTAAGAAGAAAATGCTTCAAAATATAATTTGGATTTTGCTGAACACAAAGCTTTTAAGAAATGTGTTTGAAGACTAATGAATCCTAGAACTTTCTCCACTCTTTGAAAGAAATAGTTGAGTCAATGCTAACAGCAGGCAATTCCTTCAAAAAGCACTATGCAGATAAATGTTAGAGTCTTTGAAATAATGATGTTAAATTACAAAATGATATCTTGTCCTTATAATCTGTCATCATAGCTTTCCCCTTTAAGACAAGAGAAGGCATTTGAGTGTGCAAAACAGGGAGATAACAGACAAGGTAACTTGCTGTCATCCATCTGCAGAGATTTATGCTGGCAGAGGGAAGTGGAGCTTGGGAGAACCAGCACAGAGGTAGGCATGCATCACTGACTGAGACTGATTCTTGGGTAAAATGGAAAACGATCAACAGACTAGATAGCAAGATCTTATTGACAGAGATATTTCTGAATGTATGAAACTATTCTTGCACCTTTTAGACTCGAATTTCTTCATTGTACACAGCTCTAAAGACAAAATCCTGCATCCTATTCAAGATTTATTCTATGCGATTTAAATAGTGTTGTGGCAAGGGTGCCTTTATGGATTTATGTATAATATTTTGATAGCTGTACAATTATTTGTGACTTATGAGAATACACTTTTAAAGTAGTCCAGAAAGTCACTCTTTTTTTTTTGGAATAACTTATATGTACCCTGTTTCCTTAGTTAATTGTAATGTTGGTCCACTGCAGTAATAAAATAGTTATATATTGAGTATCTCGGATGGACCACTCTGCGCTGTTATAACTGTTTATAACTTTGTAATGCTTTCATAAATGTGATTCATTACACTAATAAACATGCAAGACAACTGCAGCATCTCACTGCTTCTTTGCCCAAGTTGCTTTGGCCTTGATACCCAGAAATGACTTTCATTTCCACCTTGAACAGAACCACAGGAAATGTATGATTTGGCTTCCTAGAAATTTTAATTTATATTTTCCAATAATGTCTAATAAAAATGTATATTATGATAGAGTGACTTAAGATTGATTATAATTAAAGAAAAATATCTCTCATGGGAGAACATAGAAAGTATAAAAGAATGAGAAAACAGAACCTATACTAAAAAGTTTTTTTAAAAAAGATAATTGTTTTGGCTAAGGGCAAAAAGTCTGATGGTAAATTATATGTTTTTTAATAAATAAATGAATTTGTGGGGAAAAAGGGTAGCAGAGGAAGAGGATGAGCATTTTTACTCTATGTATAACAGATATAACTAGAAGAAAGGAATTCAAATAATAGCATAGCTTTTAGGTGAGCAACAGCAGGAGGGCACAATATCTGCTTTCAGTGTTTATGATGACTTGTCCCGTTAGAAACATAACAGACATTCTGCCAATATTTTGTGATGATCTGGAAAAGTAGGCAAGAGTTCCATTAGTAAAAAATTACCTAGCAATGTTGTTTTGTTTTGTTTCCTGCAACAGGGAATAACTGAATGGTCTATATCCGGCTTCTATTTTGTCATTCCCACCTTTGACAATACTACTGTGCTACAGGCACTTATGTCTTCATTTGGTGCTAACCAGTTCCCAGAATGGATGTGAAAAAGGAAGGTAAGACATTGGAATCCTCATCCTCATCCAGAAATACAATTAACTTACAATCTCTTGTCTTAGCCCTAGGCAATTATGTGACTACTGAGCTATGGCCTCACTCCAGGCCCCACCTGACATGTGGTGTGTCAAGTTCATATGATGGTGTGGGATGGAGTCACACTGGTTTCTTTAATTATTCTGAAGTCTAGTCAACCTCCTAATTCAGGGTTTAAACCATACTTATTACACTCATAGTTACCAGCTGGGGTCCTTTCTAGCCATATGCACTACCATAAATACTTGTTTTATCTGTGAAATAGGAGTGATAAAACTTGTATTGCAGAGTTGTTCTGAGAACCAAATTAACTTTTATCCCCAAGATATATAAAACTGGAAAGTAGCAGATACTGTAATCATAGGATCTTTCCTTCTTATGCCTCCAAGCATCATCACTGACTGTCAGCTCTGATGACATGCCTTTAGCAGTAAAACTGACTTGACGTGGATGTTGACAATAACTGATCTTAGAACTTAGATATTTGGTCATTTGGTTATGATTATAGTTTGGTTACTCCTTCTGGGTTTTGGTCTAGGTGTTCTGAGTGTTTTCAATCATGTCCCTATAATTCTTCCACTTAGAAATGTGCATGTAATACAGATAAATCAGGCTATGCTAAGACCACATTATTCTATAATTATAAGAACATGTATAAAGTTCTGAGTCCAATTAGCATGTCAAAAGATGTATAAAACCTACTTTACACAAAGTACTGAAGTACGTTCTCCAGGCTGAAGAATAATAATAGCATTATATTATGGAATTTCACCATATGTAGTTGTAAATATATCACAAAAATACAGAATGAGGTACTAAATGAAATTATAGCATTGAGAGAGAGATTTTTACATTTTGTGTAAAGTTGCATTACATTATTTCAAGACAGACTTTTATAATTTAAGCATATATATTCTAGTCTCTAGGGCAACCATTAAAAACTGGATAAACAAAGAGGTATAGGTAGAAATGAAAAAAGTATTTTAAATGAAATACTAAAAAATGCATGATTGCTACAAAAGAGAGAAAAAAATAAGAATCTCAGGGAAAGCAGTAGCAACAAAGGGAATACATAAAAACAAATAGACAGGGCTGGGCTCACTTACTCATGCCTTGTAGTCTCAGCACTTCGGGAGGCTGAGGCAGGAGGATCACTTGAGGCCAGGAGTATAAGACCGCCCTGGGCAACATAGCAAGACCCTGTCCCTAAAAAAATTAAAACACAAATAGCCAGATGGTAGATTTAAACCAAAAAATATCAACATTTAACATTAAATGTAAATGAGCTAAGAACTCCAATTAGAAGAAATTTTCAGAGTGAATTATTAGAAATAAACAAAAGAGACCCAACTATATTGTTCTTAAAAGAGACACATTTCAAATATAAAGATACATATAGGAAGATACAGATAGCCTGGAATAAGTATGGAATAAGTATGGATACAGTATGGAATAAGATACACTATGGTAAACAAAAATCATAATAAAGCTAGTTTGGCTATGTGTCAGACAAAGTAAATCTCGGAACAAGAAATAGCATCAGAGATAGAGAATAACTTAAAATTATAAAGCACCAATTAATCAAAGAATCATGAAAAATCCCAAGTTTACATGAATCTAATTACAGAATTCTTAAAAATATAAAGCAGAAATTGACAGCATTAAACATAAAAACAGACATATCCACACCCATATTTGAATATAAATACCCTCCTTTTGTTGATTGATAGAATAGATAGACAAAAACCAAGTAAAGATGTAGAAAATCTAAACTATAGTATCAACCAACTTGACCAAATAGAAATTTATAGAACACTATACTTAACAGCTGCAGAGGATGTATTATTTTCAAGTGCGTATGTAACATATATCAAGGTAGACATTATACCAGGTCACACATCTTAATACAGTTCAAAGAATTGAAATTATCATTTTGTGCATATTGTATCTGAGGTAAACACAAAATTAGAAATCAAAAACAAAAAAATGACAAAATTCTCAATTATTTGTAAATTAAGCAACAGGTATCTACCTAACCCTAGAGTCAAAGAAGAAAGGAGAAATGAGAAAACATTTTGAAATGAATAAAAATAAAAGCACAGCATAAAATTTGTGAGATGTAATTATGGTGAAGCTTAAAGGATATTTCAAACCTTTAGAAGTTTATAATGGAAAAGAAATTTCTATAATTAGTGATCTAAGCTAGAGATTGTCATATTTTTTCTTAAGGAGTCTGGCAAAAAATATTTTAGATTTATGGACAATGGTCTCTACAGCAACTATTGAACTCTGCCATTGTGACACAAAAGCAGCCATAAATACTACATAAATGAATGAGTGTAGCTATGTTCCAATAAAACCTCATTCTTAAAAACAGATATCTGGCCTGTGGGCTGTAGTTTGTGGTTGATGATCTAAGCATTCACCTAAAAATGTTAGCAGAAAAAAGAGCAAAATAAACCCACAGTAAGTAGAGAAAAACAAATAAACATAACAGTAGAAGACAGACAATAATTGATAAAATTGACAAAGTCATAATTTGTTTCTTTAGAATGCTTAATGTAAGTGATAAACTTAGCAAAAATAATAGAAAAAAGTATAAATTCTTAATATTAAGAATGAAAATGGGCTATCACTACAGATCCAATAGGCACTAAAAAAAAATTAGAAATTACTGAATTACAAATTACAAATTAGTAATGTAGATAAAATGGAAAAAGGTACTGAACAAAAATAATTTATTAAAATAAGTAGAAAATATGTAGAAACTAAATAAATTCCAAAGCCTTCTCAAAAAGATGAAAATAGGCACAGATGGTTTCCTCCATGAATACTACTAAACATACAAAGAGTAACTAATGTTAATATTACACAAACTTTTTCAGAAAATAGAAGATGGAGAGAAGGCTCATCATTTTATTTCATTAGGTTGGATTAACAGCAAAACCAAAGGCTGACAAAGACATTAAAGGAAGAAAATATAGCCCAATATCCCTCATGAAATAGAAAATCCTTGCAAAGACTAAGAAAATCAAGTTCAGCAATATAAAAATTAATAATAATAATAAATCATGGCCAGTGGAGTGTGTCCAGAAAGGCAAACTTAATTTGATACCTAAAATCAACACTGTAATTCATCACATTAATAGAATCAAGAAGATAAATAATGTTATTATTCACTAGAAGCAGAAAACGCCTTCTGACAAAATCCAACACCTATTCATGATGACATCACTTAGCTACCTAGTAATAGAAGAAAACTTCCTAAATTTGATAAAAGGCACATATATAAAAGCACTTTTAATGGTGAACTCATGAGTGCTTTTGCCCTAAGACTAAAATCAGAATGAGGCAAAGTATATACACTCATATCTCTTCTATTCACTTTCACACTAGAGATTCTAATGAAGTAAGATAAAATAAGAAATAAAATATATAAAGGTTGGAATATGAGAAATAAAACTTCCAGAAAGCATGATTTCTATGAAGAAACGCTAAAGGAATCTACAAAAATGCTAAATCTAATATAAGAAATAAGTTATATTTCAATATACTAACAAAAAATGCTGAAAATAAAATTAAAAATAAATAGCACAGGAATATGTAAACTACTTAAGAACAAATTTAATAACATGTATAAGAACTCTAATGTACTGTATGGCATTCCTTAGAAAGTTTAAAGAATTAAGTAAAAGGAGAGGATTATCATTCTTACATGTAGAAAGAAGAAAAATTTTAAATAGCGTAATCATATCTAATTAAAAAAATAAAATGCTATATCAATTAAAATATCATCAGGGCTTTTCAGCAGAAATTGATAAACTAACATTTTATATGAAAATATGAAGAACCAGGCCAGGCATGGTGGCTCACGCCTGTAATCTCAGCACTTTGGGAGGCCGAGGCAAGCAGATCATGAGGTCAGGAGTTTGAGACCACCTTGGCCAACATGGTGAAACCCTGTCTCTATTAAAAATACAAAAATTAGCCAGGCATGGTGGTGTGTGCCTGTAATCCCAGCTACTCGGGAGGCTGAGGCAGGAGAATTGCTTGAACATGGGACGCAGAGGTTGCAGTAAGCTGAGATCACAACACTGCACGCAAGTCTATGCAACACAGTACAACTCTGTCTCACAAAAAAAAAAGAAAAAGAAAATATAAAGAACTTAAAATTGTCAAAATTTCCTTGAAAAAAAAGTGGACAATTTTAGAAGTCTTAAAGTTTTACTAAAAATTTGTTTCAAGTGGTATTTAAATAACTTACTATATGTTTTAGTGAATATGGTATTAGCATAAATATAAACAAATGGAGGAATACAGCTTAAAAGAAAGGGCAGAAATGGCCTCAAGCAAATATAATCAAATGATATTCGATGAATAATTCAAAGCAATTTAAAGGGCAAAGGAAGTCAATTCAACAGGTGGTGCTGTAATCATACTTCACACCATATATAAATTTTAGTTTAAAATAGAATGCAGATTAAATATAAAATTCAAAAAGTATGGAGTTCCTAGACAATAACATATTAAAATATTTTTGGAACTCTTATGTAAATAGACAAAGATTTCTTAACAAATTTCCAAAAATACTTGTGTGGTTTTTTTTGTTTGTTTGTTTGTTTGTTTGTTTCAGACAGTCTCACTCTGTCACCCAGGCTGGAGTGCAGTGGTGAAATCTTGTCTCACTGCAACCTCCAACTGCCGGACTCAAGCAATTCTCCCACCTTAGCCTCTTGAGTAGCTGGGACTACAGGCACAAACCACCATGCCCAGCTAAATTTTGTTTGTGTTTTCTGAGGTAGGGATGGGGTTTTGCCATATTGCCCAGGCTAGTCTTGAACCCCTGGCCTCAAGCAATCTGCCTGCCTCAGCCTCCCAAAGTCCTGGGATTATAGGTGTGAGCCACCATCCAGGCCTAAAAATATTAATCTTAAAAGAAAACTCAATTAATAATTTGGGCTTCATCAAAATTAAAAACTTCAGCTACTCAAGGAGATAAGTGATCCCATTCAAAGGAACCTATTCTAAGAATTTCTTTTCAGGGACTTCCTCCAGTAATGAATGGCTTTGTTTGGCTTATCACAGGGACAAAGATATGACCAGGTGTATAAGTTTGTTCTCACACTGCTAATAAAGACATACCCAAGAGTGGGTAATTTATAAAGCAAAGAGTTTTAATTAACTCACAGTTCCACATGGCTGAGGAGACCTCACTATGATGGCAGAAGGAGAATGAAGAGCAAGGGCACATCTTACATGGTGGCAGGCAAGCGAGCTTGTGCAGAGGAACTCCCACTTAAAAAATAATCAGATCTCATGAGACTTATTCACTACTATGAGAACAATATGGGGGATATTGCCCCCATGATTCAATTATCTCCATCTGGCCCCACCCTTGACATGTGGGGATTATTACAATTCAAGGTGAGATTTGGGTGAGGACACAGCCAAACCGTATCATTCCAGCCCTGGCCCCTCCCAAATCTCATGTCATCACAATTCAAAACACAATCATGCCCTTCCAACAGGCCCCCAAAGTTTTAACTCATTTCAGCATTAACACAAATGTCCAAGTTTAAACTCTCATCTGAGACAAGGCAATTCCCTGCCACCTATGAGTCTGTAAAATCAAAAGCAAGTTAGTTACTTCTTAGATACAATGTGGGTACAGGCATTGGGTTAATATACCCATTCCAAATGGGAGAAATTGTCAAAAACAAAGGGGCTAAAGGCCCCATGCAAGTCTGAAATCCAATAGAGCAGCCATTGCCATTAAACCTTAAAGTTCCAAAATGATCTCCTTTGACTCCATGTCCCATATCCAGGTCACAGTGATGCAAGAGTGTGTTCCCATGGTCTTGGGCAGCCCTGCCTGTGGCTTTGTAGGGTGCAGGGCCCCTCCCAGCTGCCTTCACAGCTGGTGTTTAGTGTCAGCAGCTTTTTCAGGTGCATGGTGCAAGCTGTTGGTGGATCTACCTTTCTGGGGTCCAGAGGATGATGGCCCTCTTCTCACAGCTCCACTAGGCAGTGCCCCAATGGGGACTCTATGTGGGGGCTTCAACCCAAATTTCCCTTCTACACTGTCCTAGCAGAGGTTCTCCATGAGGGCCGCACTCCCGCAACAAACTTCTGCTTAGACATCTAGGCGTTTCCATACATCACCTGAAATCCAGGCACTGTTCCCAAACCTTAATTCTTGACTTCTGTTCACCCACAGGCTCAACACTACATAGAAGCTGTGAAAGCTTGGAGCTTGCACTCTCTGAAGCCATGGCCCAAGCTGTACCTTGGCTCCTTTTAGCAACAGCTGGAGTACCTGAGAGGAAAGGCACCAAGTCCCTAGGCTGCACTCAGCATAGGACCCAGTCTAGGAGACCAATTTTTTTCTCCTGGACCTCTGGGCCTGTGTTGGAAAGGCTGCCAAGAAGATCTCTGACATGCCCTGGATACATTTTCCCCATTGTCATCATGATTAACATTTGGCTCCTTGGTAGTTATGCAAATTTCTGCAGCAGGCTTGGATTTCTCTCCAGAAAATTGTTTTTTCTTTTCTAGTGCATCATCAGGCTGCAAATTTTCCATACTTTCATGCTCTGCTTCCTCTTGAATGCTTTGACATTTAGAAATTTCTTCTGCCAGATACCCTAAATCATCTCTCTCAAGTTCAAAATTCCACAAATCTCTACCACCAGACTCTTTGTCAAAACATAGCAAGAGTCACCTTTACTTCGGTTCCCAACAAGTTCCTCACATGCATCGGAGACCATTCCAGACTGGACTTTATTGTCTATATCACTATCAGCATTTTAGTCAAAGCCATTCAACAAGTCTCTAGAAAACTCAAAACTTTCTCACATCTTCCAGTTTTCTTCTGAGCCCTCCAAACTGTTCCAACTTCTGCCTGTAACCCAGTTCCAAAGTCACTTCCACGTTTTCGGGTATCTTTACAGTGGTACCAATTTACTGTATTAATCTGTTTTTTCATGCTGCTAATAAAGACATATCTGAGACTGGGTAATTTATGAAGGAAAGCAGTTTAATTGACTCACAGTTCCACATGGCTGGGGAGGCCTCACAGTCATGGCAGAAAGCGAATGAGGAGCAAGGGCACATCTTACATGATGGCAAGCAAGAGAGCTTGTGCAGGGGAACTCCCATTTATAAAACCATCAGCTTTCATGAGACTTATTCACTACCATGAGAACATTGTAGGGGAAATCGACACCATGATTCAATTATCTTCACCTGGCCCTGCCCTTGACACATGGGGATAATTACAATTCAAGGTGAGATTTGGGTGGGGACACAGCCAAACCATATCACCAGGTAATCTATTTAGGAGGTAATACTAAGAAACACTGGAAGTAGAATATGGAGAAGATACAAGAGTGTAACAAAATCAAAATTGTTCGTGTTATGAAGAAAACTACAGCTCAATCCCACTGGGGTACACTGGGGTAGAGTTTAAAATGCTCCTTAGAGGTTTCCCAACTGTAGGACAAGAAGGTGATGCTAATTATCCTATGACACTGGCATCCACTGGCTGAAAAGTGTTCCCTAGAGTGTAGACTTCTGGCCCTTTCAGCTGCCGTTGCTTGAGTTGAACATGGCTCCAGCAAAAAAGGCTCTGAGGCAAAGAGGTGTAGGTGTTCTCAATTAGAATATCTTGGCTTCCTGGCTATGACAATTTTCATTCCCACCAACAGTGCTCAAGGCTTTGCTTTTCTTCACAGCCTCACCCACACGTGTTATCTCTCATATTTTTGATAATAGCCTTTCTGATATGATATCATGTTATGGTTTTTATTTGTGTTTCTGTGACAGTGATGTTGAACACCTTTTCACATATATGTTGACTATTTATATGTTTTCTTTGAAAAAAAAATCTCTTCAGGTCCTCTACCTATTTTTAGTAGGGTTATTTTTATTTTTTCTATTGAGTTGTGTGAATTCCTTATATATTTTTGATACTAACTCATCAGATGCATTGTTCACAAATATGTTCTCCCATCTCATAGGTTGCCTTTTTATTTTGTTATTTTCTTTGCTATGCAGAAGTTTTAATTATTATGAAAAATAATATGAAATTTCCTTAAAATTTTAAAAATAGAACTACCACGTGACCCAGCAATGCCACTTCTGGTATATATCCAAAGGAAATAAAATTAGTATTATGTTCATTGCAGCATTATTTGCAATAGTCAAGACACGGAAATAACCTAGGTAATCATCAGTGAATGCATGGATTCAAAAAATGCAATATATATATTTTATATATTAATATGCCTCTTATATTTTACATAATGGATGTTAATATTTTGTATATTTTATGTATTAACATGTCCATTAATATATTTTATATACAAATGTAAAATTGAATATTATTCAGCCATATGAAAGAAGGAAATCCTGTCATTTGTGACAACAAGAATGAACCTGGAGGACATTATGCCAAGTGAAATAAGTCAAACACAAAAAGAGACATACTGCATGATTTTGCTTATATTTGGAGCCTAAGAAAGTCAAACTCTTAGAAGCAGACATTAGAACAATGGTGGTCAGATGCTAGAGGGTAGGGGAAATGAAGATCTGTTTGTCAAAGTGTGTAAAATTTTAGTTCTAAGATAAATAAGTTCTGGAGATTTAGCGTACAGCATCAAATTATGGTGGCTCTAGTTAATAATACTTTATTCATGTCTTCTTGAAATTTTATGAGAGCAAATATTAAGTGCTCTCAATGTACACTTAAATGGTAACTATGGGTGGGAGCATATATATTAATTTGATTCTGGTAATCATTGCACAATGTTTATATATATATATATATATATATATATATATATATATATATATATATAATCACCATGTTATATACCCTGAATATATATAATTTTTATCTAGCAATTAAATATTTTAAATTTTTGAAAATAAAAAATCCTTGGCAAGTAGAAGTGAATATGAAGGGGATACAGGCTCAGCACTAACAAAAACTGACACATATATTTTATATATATATTTTTTGAAACAGCGTCTCCTTCTGTCTCCCAGGCTGAAGCACAGTGGCTCAAGGTCAGCTGACTACAACCCCACCTCCCTGGCTCAAGTGATCAGCCCACCTCAGCCTCCCCAGTAGCTGGGATCACAAGGCTGCGTCACCATGTCTACCTAATTTTTGTATTTTTTTGTAGAGGCGTGGTTTTGCCATATTGTCCAGGCTGGTCTCAAACCCCTGAGTTCAAGCGAGCCACCACCTCGGCCTCCCAAAGTGCTAGGATTACAGGTGTGAGCCACTGTGCCCAGCCTGATACATATATTCTTAAAAATATTTTCACACACACATTTCAGAACTGAAATCTGCTGTAATGTATAAAGGAACTTTTAAGATGGGGGCAGATTTCAGAATCCATGGATTTGAGGACCCATGGCCTGAGGTTAAAGAGTCAACTACAGGAGTTATTCTGCATTGTCTGCTTTGTTCCTTCCTTCTCAGATATTCTTCCTGTGCACCCTCCCTTCTCCTAGCTAACTCTTATCCATTCTTCAGAACTCACTCTAAGAAAAACATATCTTCAAAAAGGTCTTCCCTGATCTTTTCTGAGCAGGTCAGGCTCCACTGTAAAAGGCTCACTTTAGCACCTTGTACATGGCCTTCATAACATCCCTCCTAAGTGAAATTAAATTAATAATAACATAATTTATTATTTAATGTTTGTCTCACACTAAAATATAAGCTCCATAAATGTGGGCACTGTGTACATTTCCCACTGCTGTGTCTTCAATCCATAACACTATCCCCAAAATATAGTAGGCATTCAATAAATATTTGCCCAATTAATGCATTACTAGATTGACTAAAGAACTATAGAATGATTTAGGTTGCCTAAGAATTCGTTTCTTTTATAGCGTACAGAAAATAGGAAACTATTTAAGGAGATCCATTTTAGCTACATGACAGAAACTAGCTCAGGAGAAGATACTATTAAGATTTTTGAGTTTATCATTTGACAAAGAATATTCTAATAAAAAACAGGTGAATAGAGATAAAAACCTGGAGGAACATCTTTTAATATTAACATGAAAAATTATATATACATATATTCAAGGTGTATAACATGATGATTTGATATAAACATTGTGTAATTATTACCAGAATCAAATTAATATATTTGTTTTCCCACCCATAGTTACCATTTGTGTCTGGTGTTTGTCGAGAACACTTTAAGAATAACTTTTAATATATGTTAACATCTACTGATGTTAAAATGTACATATAAGGAATGTATCTGAATAAATAAATCCAAACAAGCAAATAACACCAATAAAACATAAGGAGAGGGATTTGAAAGATCCTCAGCACACATAAAATATAGCATTCAAAATTTGAAATAAGAACTTTATTCTAAAATTAATTTATTACTTTTGATTATCTTAATAGACTTAAAAAGATGTTTGAAGAAAATTTAATACCCATTCCTGGTTTTTTTTAAAAAAGATGAGAAACAAACTTGTAAAACCAAAAACCATAAAGCTTCTGAAGGATGCAAGAAAATACCTTCGTTATCTTGGTGCAGGCACAGATGTCCTGCATAAGTTACAAAAAGCACCAACCATTAAAGAGAGAAAGTGGTAAATTGGACTTACAAAATAAAAAATAATTACTTATTAAAAGACACTATTAAGAAAATGCAAGGCAAGCCACAGATTTAGAGAAAATATCTGTTAAATACATATCTGACGAAAGACTTGTGTCTAGAATATACAAAGACATTTTGCTACTCAACCTTAAAAACAACAATAATAAAATATGGGCAAAAATTTGAAAAGACAATAAAAAATAGGCATATGAATGGCCATTAAGTATAGAAACTTTTTCGTCATTAGTTTATGAGCTATCAGTCAATGCTAACAGCATTAAATGTAAGTGAGGATGTGAAACAATTGGGACTACCATATATTGTTCTCACACTGGATAACTATTTGGCAGTTTCTTTTAAAGTTAAATGTACACTTCAATTCCATTCTTAGCATTCCACTCTTACAACCCAAAATAAAAACACATGTCTACAAAAAAGACTTGTACAAGAAAGTTCATAGCAGCCTTATCTAAAATTGTAAAATGGTCAGAATTGAAAACAACTCAGATATCCATCATCAGGAGAGAGGATGTATAAATTACGGTATAGCCACATAATGAAAGATTATTCAGTAAGGAAAAAGAACAAGCTGCTGATTAATGTAAAAAAAACTCTCAAAAATATAATGAATGATGGAAGACAAACACACACACACAGGTAAGTAATATGATTCCACTTACATGAATTAAAAGGATAGGCACAACTAATCTGTGGCATCAGAAATCAGAAAGTTATTGCTCTGTAAAATATGAGAAATTGATTAGATAGTGGTGCAAGAAAACTTTCTGAATAGAGAAATATTTGTATTATTTTGAGGGATACTGGATGCATAGGTGTATACAATTTTAAAAACTTACATAATTGAATTATGAAGATATGGGTGTTTTATCGTACATAAACTATGCCTCCATTGAAAAGAAACATGTTAAGAAGCATCTTTCTCATCGTAGTTTGATGTTTAAAACTAAAAGTAAACATCATACTTAGGAAAACTTTAGGGGCATTCTCACTGTGATCAAGAGTAAGACTAGATACATGAGTACCTTCACAATTTTTGTCAATGTTCTAAATGAAGTGTCAGGCAATAAGATATGAAACAAATGTGAGAAGACAAAATAACTGTTTACTGACAATATAGTTGTTTATAAATTTTAAGATATTCAACTAAAATACTATTAGGACTACTAATAATTTTAAAAGTGGCCACACAAAAAATGTTTGCAATAAATAAGTCTTTTAAAAAATATTCTAGCAATAAATGGGATGCAATAAAAAATTTCATTCATATTTTTAACAGAAAAAAACAATTTCCAACAAAAATATGCAAAACCTATAGAATACAATTACATAACTCTATCAAGCGGCAGAACAGGATTCAAATGTATAGACGTACCTTGCTTCTCATGGAAAAACAATTTCATAAAGACATAAATTTCAAATCAATAAATTGTATATTTTAATGTAAATCACAATGTTAAAGCATTTCAGAGAAAGTAGCAAAATCATTTTAACATTCATTTGGGAAATTAAATGTGTCAATAGTCAAGGAATTTCTGAAAGCAAAATTGTATTAGCAATTTGTACTATTACATTTTAAATTGTATCAATGAATTGTAATAGTTGAAAGAGTGTGATACTAACTTTTTTGTTGTGATAGAGCAAGGCACATGGTAAATCCAGTTCGGCAGGAATTTTATTGTATGTTTTTCTACAGTTCAGTAAAACCTCATACACACATATTTATTCATATATGTGTAGACTTGAAAGAAATCATAAGAAGGCATACATTGCTTACTCAAATTTAGCACAGTGGTTCTGTGTACAAACAGCTTGAAAATTGTTCCTCCATTCTCCTCTTAAGCTCTTACAATGACAGACAGCGCACTAGAGAGTAATCGGTGAGGGCAGATATTTTATCTCTTTTGCTTCCCTTCCTATCCCAGTCCTCTGGCCAGGTACTAAGTTGCATACTGGGGGCACTCAGTTGATAAATGTTAAGTGACTAAATGATTGCATAAAGCAGTTAGATAAACAAAACAGGTAGAAATATTAAGCAACAAAATTAAATTATTTTAAGTATTTTCTGTATATTATTAGTAGTATTTTAAATAAATAGAAATAAGGGAGACAATCCAATAATTAGTGTTAGGACAACTGATTAATATTTTAGAAAACAAAGACAACTTTATTTCTCACTTCATACCGTATTTCCAAAATACATGAATTTAAATAAACCATTTACTGTACAAATGAATGAAATCATAAAAATAAACGTAGATTAATATTTATATCTCAGAGGAAAAATTATAATAAAAATCAAGGCATATTCATTAGAGTCTATTAGTTAAAATTTAAATATTAAGGAAAACAATACCTAACACAAAAATATCAGTAACAAATATCGGGAGAAAAATAAGTAGGGGATTAAAGAATTACATGTGCCAAATTTCTCATCTTATATGGTAGAAGTAAATGTTTAAAATAATAAATTAACATCTCAGGTTAGAGACTATCATAGGCATTATTAGAATAATAATAAGACAAATAATAAAAGTAAGACTGTAACAACCCTTTGAGATATTATTATTCTAATTTTATAGAAGAGAAGACTGGCCGGGCGCGGTGGCTCACGCCTGTAATCCCAGCACTTTGGGAGGCCGAGGCGGGCGGATCAGGAGGTCAGGAGATCGAGACCATCCTGGCTAACCTGGTGAAACCCCGTCTCTACTAAAAGTACAAAAAAAATTTGCCAGGCGTGGTGGCAGGCGCCTGTAGTCCCAGCTACTCGGGAGGCTGAGGCAGGAGAGTGGCGTGAACCCGGGAGGCGGAGCTTGCAGTGAGCCAAGATCGCGCCACTGCACTCCAGCCTGGGCGACAGAGCAAGACTCATCTCAAAAAAAAAAAAAAAAAAAAAAAAGGAAGAGGAGACTGAGTCATAGACAAATTAAAACACTGTGAAAGGTTAAACAGCTAGTAAGTGGCAGAGTCAGGAAGAGCAACAAAAGCTAATAAAAACAGGAAGATGAATAAAATTATAGGGATGAAGGCAGCAGTGAGAAGGTTAAAATACAATAATTTCTTCATTTTTCTGATATGCAAGTCAAAGGACACTTAATATACTTGGTAAGCTATATTAATAAATATTTGTTAATGTTTATAATAGCAAATAATATTTATAATAATAAATATTAATATATAATATATTCATTGATATAATAAATTATTACATGTTTATAGTTGCATAGTTATTAATAAATAAATGCACTATTTACTAATAATTATACTTTACTAATATTAAACTATATTAATAAATTATATATTTATAATTAATATTTTTATATTAGACGATCTTTAGAAAACCTAAAACACGTAATAAAATTATGGGAACAAAATTATGAGAACAATCATATATATTCACACAATACAAAAAATGTAAGTCCATGTTATAAAACTAGAAAACCAAATTAACAAAGCTTTAAAAACCAGAACACATGAAATAAGATGACACAATTCAGATCAATCACATATATCAAAATTTAAACCTATAACTTTATTAATATAAAAAATAGTCTCAGAATTGTTCTGTAAGAAAAACAATAAAATTACCTACACAGAAGATGTATTTAAGAAACAGATTCATGGGAACTTGGAAAACACAAGAGCAAGCAAAATTAGTTTAAGCCCTTGCAAACAAGCAACAAAAATTAAGGAGCACGATAGGAAAACTGATTGTGTTAATTTTTCAATGAAAGCAATAAGCAAATACTGTCAAGAGTACACACTGCAACTTACTTTCTTTATTGAACATGTGTCTTACTGACATTTCCGTGTCAAGAGCCACCTTCTTTTAGTCACATCAAAGAATGCTACAGAATTGGTGAGCATAGCTTATGGTGCAGATCCTGATTTCTCACTTTATTACTATGTGATCTCAATCAAATCAGTAAACTTTTTAAGACTCAGTTTCCACGTATAGGAATGGGCACATTAATAAAACCTGATGATTAATATTTATTTCCATTAGAAAAAATAATGTGTATAAAA
The DNA here is from genome assembly GCF_000001405.40 of Homo sapiens. Taxonomy (NCBI): domain Eukaryota; kingdom Metazoa; phylum Chordata; class Mammalia; order Primates; family Hominidae; genus Homo; species Homo sapiens. The sequence goes on along the minus strand of NC_000005.10, from coordinate 117,360,915 downwards.
TATTGGTACAATATGTGATACAATAAAGTCTTCATAAATATGAAAATCATTATTATCACAAGTTGAATATACTCCTGTGTTAGACATTTGAGTTATTTGCAAATTTTGTTCTATTAAAAACCATGCTCAAGTTATTCATAAATTTTTTTGTACGTGTGTATATCTATAAGATGTCTTAGAAGCGTTAAAGGATATGAATTTCAAATTTCAAAATTTTGATGATACTGAATTTCCCTCAGAAAAATTTGTTTCTAGTTATATTGTACGAAAATGTTTATTTTTAACTGTTTTGCCAATCAATGCTAGTTATTAATTTTCTGCTAAATTGCGCTATTTTAATGAAAAAATAAAACTTTATTTTTACAATTGTATTTTTCTGATTGATAATGACATTGATAAACTTGAATACACTTTTATGTTTTTTCAATTACCTAATCATATTCATTACCTTTTTCTATATTAGATCAATTACCTGTTTCTTATAACTGTGTTGAAGGTCTTTATATATGTTGGATATTAACATTCAAATATAAATATACTCAGTGAACTCTGTGTTTGCTTGTTTTCCATTCTTTCTCGTTTTTAAACTTTCTAAAGGTTACTTTGTCTCAGGAAACACAATGGTTAAGCACATCCACTCTGAAGTCAAATTTCAGAGGTCCAACCTTGGCTCTGCCAATTAGCACCTGTGTGACCATGTGCAAATTACTTAACTCCCTGAGCTTTGGTTTTATCTCTTTTCTAAAATAAGTATAATAATATCAGCCACTGCATAGGTTTTTATGATGATTAAATTATTAACCATTATTATTTATTTTATTTTTATTATTCTGAAGATTTTTAAATTTATGTTATGATTAATAAGGCCTATTCCACAACAAATATAAGTAAAACTATGGATTATTATAGATTTTTATTTCCTCATTTGTATTTATGTAAGTTATCTATACAGACCCACACACTATTTCCATAACAATAATTAAAACCCAGGCACTGTTAATGTTTTTTAAAGGTATAAACTTTTTTAATGTGTGCCTATTTAAATCAGCCAGAGTCACGGGCCACAGTGTTTGCCTTTCTGTTTACAGCATACAGGTTACTATGATGTGGACGTTCAGGTAAAAGTCTGTGTGTAAGTTCTGAGAACTGAAGCATTGGGTAAATTATCTACAGGGTACTTTATATTGTAACAGGTGGCCCGTATAACTTTGCCTGCAATGTAAAATCTGGACTGCTTTTATTTCCTCAGGCACAAAACTAGACTCTAAGAAGCAAGATGTTGAATTTAGAAATGAATGCTGTATTAGTCAGATTTCCCCAGAGAAACAGATCTAACTGGATGTGTGTGGACATGTGTGTGTGTGTGTCTATCTATTAATATATAGAGAGAGGGATTTCGTACAAAGAATTGGCTTACGAGATTATGAAGGCTGAGAATTTGTGTGTCAGAAAATGCTTTGGTGGTAATCTCTGCCATTTGCCTTTCAAATGCAGGACTCAGAAAAGATGTCCCTGGACTTACATTAATAATGAAACTTGTTCCCCTGTAAAAAGGATTGTTTAATTTTTGACAGTTCTAAATACGAGACTACCCAGTTGGAAATTCAGCCATATTTATTTCTATGATTTCCACCTACCTTTCCACTCCGTGCAGATGAGAGAATATAAGCATAGAGTCCTTATTTGAGAATGCTGTCCTTCAAATATCTCTTCACATGGCCATACTAAATGTCTCTTTTGTAATTCTCATGACTATAAAACACATTTTCAGAAGTTCTGGGCCGGGCGCGGTGGCTCACGCCTGTAATCCCAGCACTTTGGGAGGCCAAGGCGGGCGGATCACGAGGTCAGGAGATCGAGACCATCCCGGCTAAAACGGTGAAACCCCGTCTCTACTAAAAATACAAAAAATTAGCCGGGCGTAGTGGCGGGCGCCTGTAGTCCCAGCTACTTGGGAGGCTGAGGCAGGAGAATGGCGTGAACCCGGGAGGCGGAGCTTGCAGTGAGCCGAGATCCCGCCACTGCACTCCAGCCTGGGCGACAGAGCGAGACTCCGTCTCAAAAAAAAAAAAAAAAAAAAAAAAAAAAAAAAAAGAAGTTCTGCTATCCTAGTCACCCTTTTATGGAGATGTCAGACTTTGTCAATATTTCCCTTAAGCCAGACAGAAATATCCTAATGTGATGGTACCCACAGCAAAGTATAGTGTAATGAATGCTTGCCTTGGTCTGGACATTAAATTTGTAAGATTGCTGCCCTGAGTAAATTAACTCTGACAAGATGCATGTATATTTCTGCCTCATATTGGATTTGAAATCAGTTATACTTCCCAGGTCCAGCATTAAAACACAATTTAAGTAAATTCATGCATTTCTCTTATATACCTATATAATTAACTTTTAAGATCAACTTTAAAGGAATAAATTTTACAATACATCTCTGACTTTTTATTACCACTTATCAAACTAATTTGACTGATTTGCTATGTTTCTAATATAGCGTTTCCTATATGCCAGCAAATGAGTAAAATAACTTTAAGCATTTCATTTATTATGTTTAAGATAACTGCCTCCATTTTACTTGTTAGGAAATTTGACAACAACTACTCAAAGCATAAATAGCAAGGCTAGGAATTTTCAGGCCAATCTTCCTTCCACAATACTACACAGCCTCAGAGTGTGGCTGAGTACCAACTCTTCCCCTCAGCACTATTCTTGTTAACATTTTGAAAAGTATGCTTTTCAAATCTTATCCAAGTTATTTATAAGCAAATTAAGCATGGCATTGCCAAGGACAGATCTCCGGGGCATGCCACTGAGAAATTCTGTTTTTGTTGGCAATGACCTGTTCATTAGTCAATACCCTCTGAGATGGGTAATTCTACCAGGCACAAACTGACCTAATTTTGCAACAGCCCCATCTAGATATCATCACCATATTTACAAGAATATAGTGACTTTGTCAAAAAGCTTGCTGAAATCAAGGAATCGCGGTTAGCTTGATGTCACTTTATGTATCTTTAACAACCTGAGACAAATACATGTAGACAAATACAAATGTGCATTTATGTATATGTACATATGCACACACACCTATGTATGTGCTGTTAATGGAACCATATAATTCTAGCAGACATTATCATAAAACTGTCTATACATGTCTCCTTCAGGCTCTTACTGTGTAGTCTGCTTTTGTGTGTCTCTTCTCATTCCTTCTGCATTGAAGTCACACATGAAAAGTGGTGCATTTACTTCTACTAAGAATCACTTTTCTCTGTGGTCTTAGTCACACTAATACCACCTTATGTGGCGTTAGTGGTGTTGGTGGTATGTATGTGGTGTTGTTAACCAAGCATCAATCACATCTGTGATGAATTCTCACATAAATAGTATACAATCATACCTCCACAGAATCTCCAATCTCTTAAATTAGCCAGGCCACTCAATAATGAAGAGAATAATGTCTTGCTTATTTGGTTCCCACTACTTCCGCACACCAACTTTGAGAAATATTCTTCTGTGTCCTCCTACTTTCTATGTATTTTCCTCAATGTTTATGTCTGTGGATGATTTATTATCTATGTCTTCAAATCCATTTTGTTTCTTTCTCCAGTTTTTAGCATAGCCCTCCTTTTAGCTATTTGCTTTCTAGAATCAATGTTGCCCATAAAATATTAGTCATGGAATTATTAAACAAGAATGCCTTATCTTTTACTGCAGGGGAAGAGATTAGCTTATAGTATTAGAAAAATACATATATTAGAGGCCTGTCAATCGACCTTTCATTCTAATCACTTTTGAGTAGCCAAATGCACACATGGGTACACTGCCAGCACCTCACCTCTGCTGAATCCTGTACCTGCTGCTTCCTGTCTTGGGCTTCATAAGAGGCCATTTCATGAGATACTTCTGCGAACTCCCATGGCAGTCACATTTATGCAGCCTGGAAAAATGATAGTTACAAATGAGCCTGGACTTGTGGGTTATGAGAGCTACCGGATAAACACGGCTCCCTATATTTCTTAGGCAGACAATTCTAAGACCCATTCTGAGTCAGAAAACCCCAACAAGATGAAGTCCCAGTTACTAACAGAGGTATCAACTTGATTGTGCACCCTTTTAATTGCTTTTCCCTTCTCTGTTTCACTCTCCATAGTCCCTTACTCCGTTCCCTGGGATTGCTGCACAAATAAACAACCTGCAGGCAAGCCCTTGTGTATGGCTCTGCCACTGGAGAAACCCATGCTCACACAGGGAGCATTATGGCCTTCATGTTTTGCACAATATACCACGCATTTTTAGCTCTTTTTTTTCAAGTAGGAAACAAGTTTATTTGCTAAAATACAATGTAAATGCAATTTCCAATATCCTGATATCCAATGATGTTTCCGGTCTAATGTGGAAAATACAGGTGACAAATAGGACACAGATATAAACAGACAGCATACTCAGAATAGAAAGATAAAATGGCAGAATCACAGTAGTCACTCAGCATAGGGCTGAACACATCTTAGAATAGCAAAGCTTTAGATAGAAACCAATTGACAAACCTGAGCTATGATAGAATAATAGTAATAATAATGATACATATTGTTGTCTATAGGTGTCCTAAATCCAGTGCAAACTTCATGGGATAAACCACTGTGGTAAACTGCCAAGATAGCTAGATTGAGCCAGAATAATATCTTAGCCTCAAAGGCTAGTGGAATGAAGAACTTGTTGGAAATATTTCTCAAAATGTTTTTACATAAAAACATGACTGTCATTGTAGAACTACTTGCAGACACTTTTAAAAATACTTTTGTCCTCCTTTTAAAATATAAAATTAGAGTACCCATATAGTAGTTATAATACAGAGATACTGGTTTATTCAGTTAATTTATCTTAATTAGGATTTTTTAGATGTAAGTAATAGAAAAAGCAGCTTAAACTGCATTAAAGAGTAAGACAATGCTTTATCTCCTACAAAAAGACTTGAGTATAGTGAGTCCCAAGGTTGATCAGGTGCTCAGCAATAGTAACATGTATCCATGTTATTGCCAGGCTTTTCCATGCTTAATGCCTGTTACCTCCTCACCATGAAAACAAGGAAGCTGAGGTTGTCCCCAGTGTCATTTCCACACATGCCAATGTCCAGCTGTGGAAAGGGTACCTGCGTTTTTTTTTGGTTTTTTTTTTTTTAGGAGTGTGGATTCTTTTGTCCTGAAACTGATATCTCACTGGCAAGCATTTGATCACATGCCTAAAACTAATCCTATTGCTACAATAGGATTAAAATCTCTGGGGCTAACTTACAGAAATAGTCTGACCTGGCATGAATGTTGAAGAGTTAACCCCAATGTCCAAGACATACATTTTACTTGGTACAGAAAAGTTAAAGGCTCTTACATCCAGAGTAAACAAAAATGGGTAAAGAGATGCCTAAGCCAAATGAAGCCTGTTTTACTGTACACACAGAGGCACAAAATTATTTTTATGTCACAGGAGAATCTGGATCAGAAAAATTCCTCGCACAGTTTTCTAAATCAAAGTATTTTATGTAAGACGAGATCATTATCTGAACACTGAGAATAATGAGGTCACCATAAACAACACTTTTTGTATGTGTGTTTATTTGCTTCCATGTCACAAAGTTATACACGAGAAATTCTTTGAAGTTCAAAAGGGAACAAATCAATAACTGATGTAATGAACCTATATTGTACCTTTTAAATTATATCCCTTTAAATCTATGCAATTTCTCTCCAGAAATCTAATGGTTGGCTTGAGGTCAAGCCCAACTTGAACCAACTTTACTAATGTGCCTGCTGCAACTCCTACTGTGATGAAGTTCTGACATTTTACTGGGGGCTTCTTTCCAGCTTGAATCTTTTGTCATCTTGACAATTGAATCTCATTTGCAAGGAAAGAATAAAAAAGACAAATCTACATCTTGACATCTTTTGGCGTTTCTCTAGAGGTGATGAATCCCTGTTTTGGGTAAGGCTGAAAATAATTGAGCATTGGAAAGTAAATGAAAGAACAGTTTTCACAGTAGCTTCAATCTTAACAGTCTGTCAAAGCATCTTGTCAGGTTACAAAACAATGATTTAAATCCCAAATACAACTCATCTTTCACCCATGTGAGGTGGTTACACATGCGTGCGTAGACATACGCATGCGTATATCAGAAATATTCTTCAAGGTTGTGGAATCTGCCATGTTTTCTTTCTATATTGGTAAACAACATGAAAAAGACATCCATATTCAAAAATCCAAAGAATTATGGTAGAGAAAATACACATTTGCTATATTTATATTTTTATTTGAAACTAATTTGCTTGATATTTTAGAAAAAAACATTGACCTAAAAGATTAGTCCCCTGAGCTCCTGCCCTGCTGCAGGTCACACAAGATGACAGGGCATTTGTCTTTAGAGGTTTTATGTTTTGTTTAGTTTTTTCATTTGTAATATGTGTTGATGATTTATTACATGTCTATACCTATGGAATGATCATTTAATTTCAGTCCAAAAGTAACTATATTAAGAACCCATGTTTCTTTGATCATTCCTAATTTGTAAAATAAATAATGCACAAATAAAAATTGTATTTCTTATTAAATTCCCCAGCATACGTATACTCTCCTTATATTTTCCCCTTGAAAATAAAAATACATTTACAATTTATAAACATTGGTTTAAAAGGAACAGCTACATAAAGGCTGCCAGTGATTGGCTTCAATCCTTCACTTAGTGTATTAGTCCGTTCTCACACTGCTATGAAGAAATACCCGACTGGATAATTTATAAGGAAAGATGATTTAATTGACTTACAGTTCCACATGGCTGGGAAAGCCTCAGAAAACTTACAATCATGGCAGAAGAAAACTCTTCACAGGACGACAGGAAAGAGAATGAATGCCAGCAGAGGAAATGCCAGATGCTTATAAAACCATTAGATCTCGTGAAAACTCACTCACTTTTACGAGAACAGCATAGGCAAATCCACCCCTATGATTCAATTGCCTTCCACTGGATCCCTCCCATGGCACAAGGGATTATGGGGATTATAATTCAAGATGATATTTGGGTGGGGAGATATCCAAACCATATCACTTAGCAAATATTTTTAATCACTTACTTCTAAGTACTGGAGAAACCACAATAAATAAAGTAGAGTCTTTTGGCCCCAAGACAATTTACACTCCAGTGGCTGAATCCATCCAAAAAAGACCTTTGAATGAGAACCCAGGGGTGAGCATTGATTCTTTGTTCCCCAACAACCTTCTTCCTGGTGGCATTGAAGTGTTCTTTGAGCTGGCAATGAAGCCAGTTCTCCTGCTTCTAGAATTAATACAGCTAAAGCTCCAATCTGAATTTTAAAATGGGAAAGTACATTACAATATCACCTGAAAATTTTCTTGAAAATTGTCTCGCTTCCAATGTCTTTATCCTCAAAACATACTCAGCCATGTGACCCTATAAAATGGTTCAGTAAATTGTGGCATTTTAAAAGTACAGCTTAAAGAAGTGAAATACCATTGTTCAACACTAAAAATTCAAATTAGATTTGTCACCAATTACTGGTCCCTTCTTCTTCTGTTTTGTCAATGAGGATATACATAAAAATAGTAAAGGCTGGTAAGAGGTAACAAACCAGATCTAACAGAATCCCATCTATACCAATTTTCATTGGCAGTATCAAGAGAAAGAATGAGAAATTACATTTAATTAGGACACTTAAATCATCCTTTGCATTTAAAGAGAAGTAGATATATGTGTAGTATTATGGTTTTTATTATCTGACAGTGACAAAGGAGGTAACAAACAGTTCAATAAGCACTTTATACACTTATTCAACAAATATCTATTGAGAAGCTACTATGTATAGGCATTCTTTTAGGTGCTTGAGATATGGCAATATGCAAAACCAAAATTACTTATCTTAAAAAGTTTACATTCACTTAATACCCCCTCAAAGCCTCCTGAAGTGAGTGATATTATTAATTCAATTTCTCAGAAGATAAGTACTGTATAGTGGGATTTAGAGGTTAATTAATTTGCCTGATGTCATATAGCTATTAAGTTCAAAGACAGACTGTGAATCCAGGTCTGAGTGACTCTAGAGCTTGAATTCTTAATTATCTTAAATAAAAAACACAATGGATAATAAATTCAAATTGACCACAAACTGGTAGCAATTTCCTTAATCTTGAAGACATTGAAATATATAAACACGAAGCTAATTATAATAAGAAGAATTAACCTCAGAAAACCAGCTACTTTCTTCTAGAACCCTCCCCCACCACCATGTCACAGGTTTACTATTGTAACAAACACCGGAGATAGTATGAAATAATTGGTAAGTGCACAGGGCTGTGGAATCAGAAAGACCGAGCATCTGCTCTTTCCACAGTGCTTACCAGATACATGATGTTGAGCAATTACATAATGCCACAAAGCTTCCCCTTACCCACCTGTAAAATGTGGTAGATAATAGTACCTACCAAAAGGAGCTATTGTGCAGTTTAAAAAAGAAGGCTGTGTGTCCAGACTTCAGACAGTGCCTGACCTGTAGTTCACACTCAATAGAGATTTAGCCTTAATTTTTCTATTCTTATCTCTGCCAGTAAACAAATAAGGCAGAAGAACTACGCATATTACAGATATAGCTACCTGATACATTTAGTAAGATAAGTCATGGCTTTCCATAGTTCTTGATTTTTCATAGCCCTAGAGTTTTTCAGGTAACCTTGAGAGGAAAGGTTTTCATCTTAAAGACAGATAATTAGATACTTCTTGGTTAATTTATAGGTACATAAAAACATTTCTGTCTGTTATAGGATAAGTGTCAACATTTGTAGAGATTACCTTAACCTAAAAGCAATTTTAATGTCAAACTGGTTGTTTCTTTCTGATAAATAATGCATTGAGGGAAATTTCAAGTGATATTTCTGACTTTCAAACCTTAAAAGAAATACCGGTAACCATAGTGATTTTTAGCTTTAAAAAGCTAATTATCTCTGTGTGTATATATACACATAAGGTGTGTGTGCACGTGTGTGTGTATGTATGTGTGTGAATATTAGTGTGGGACAATCTTTTCTAAGTAATACACAAAATAGAAAAGCCATAAGAGACAAGATGGATGAATTTGACCTCACAGGATATGAAAGTTTCACATTAAAAATGCAATAAGCAAAGTTAAAAAAAAAATTACAAGCCAGAAAAATAGTAACACGTGATATACAAAAAAAAATTTATTTTACATAAATAGGTCTCAAATAAGGAAAAAAACCAGACAAAAGATAAACTCTTAGGAAAAAGTAGATAGAAGCCACGTCTCAATTTTGTATTGCTACATCAGAGTACCTGGAACTGGATAATTTATAAAATAAATAAATCTATCTTGTCGCAGTTCTCGAGTCTGAGAAGTCCAACATCAAGGCATTAGCTGGTTCAGTTGCCTGGTGAGGGTTGTATACTCATCCTTGGGAGGGGAGAAACTCTGCGTCATCACATGAAAGAAGGTGGACAGACAAGCTTATCTAACACTGCAGGAAGAAGTCCTCATGGCATAACCACCCCTTAAAAGTCTCACCTCTTAATACTATCACACTGATAACACCTGAAATTTGGAGGAGATACATTCAAACCATAGCAGGACTTAAAAAGTATTGAATACCCAGGAAACACCCACACAGAACAACAACAACAACAACAACTGGTACTAACATACTTGAAAAAAGCTGTAATTTACTCACTTGAAAAACTGCAAACTAAAAGATAAAGTCTATGTATTTTTTTACAAATATCAACAGTAGATATCAAAAAGCAAAGTAATGGTCAACATTGTCAAATATGGGGAAGAAAGAATTTATTTTAAATAGGATATAAATGAGTGTATCCTCTCTGTAGAGCAACTTGACAATATCTTAAAAATATTAAAATGCAAGTGTCTTATTACCCAGTATTTTGATAACTGGAGTGTTTCTTCCAGATATACAAATATACACACTTTATCTACAAAGTTATCCATAGAAGAATTTTAGCATTGTTCATGGAAGACAAAGGCTAAAATCTATGTACATGGTCATCAAAATTGGATTGGCAAAGCAAATTATATTAGATCCATATAATGGTATAACATAATAGATCTACTGATACAGGCTATGATGGAATTATCTCAAAAATATAATTAGAAGAAAAACATACAAGGCAGAGACATTTATTTAGTTTAGTAAGCTCACATTTCGGTAAAATAAATATATATGTGTGAGTGTGAGACAAAGAGAAAAGAGAAATTTATTTTTCATATTTACATTGTATACACATTGCCTTTTCATTTTTGTTTAAAAAATATGTTAATAGGTATTATTGAAAGACAAATATGGACAGAACAGATAATAGTGGTAATGAATATAATTAATGAAAAATAAACTTTTAAAAAATGATTAATATTTAACAAATGAAAAACATTTTAATTCATAAAAGATGTTAGAAATTTGAAATTAGAGACTAAGAGTTTATGGAAATCCAATTTATGATTTCTAAAATAAATATTTAATAGAAAGCTAGAATAATCTGCCAAATGGGAGAAAGAGAAAGAGAACTACTGATGGAAAAATAAAATATGAGAGATACTGAGTTTGAGGACTTTCATAGGTCTACACATATCTATTTATTACACATTCTTAAAAGTTACAGAAATCTATTTATTACACATCCTGACAAAAAGTTCTGAAAAGATGAAATATGAATAAGAAAATGATTGCATAATTAATAAAGAAAAAGTCTGGTCACAGTGGCTCATGCCTGTAATCCCAGCACTTTGGGAGGCCAAGGTGGGTGGATCACTTGAGGTCAGGAGTTCGAGACCAGCCTGGTCAAAATGGTGAAACCCTGTCTCTACTAAAAATATAAAAATTAGTCGGGTGTGGCGGCACATGCCTGTAATCCCAGCTACTTGGGAGACTGAGGCAGGAGAATCGATTGAACCTGGGAGATGGAGGTTGCAGTGAGCGGATATCATGCCACTGCACTCCAGCCTGGGTGACAGAATGAATCTAACAACAAAAAATAAATAAATAAAAAGAAAGAATGAAAAAAGAAAACAATTTCAAAAGCAAAAAATACTAATCTTCAAATTTAAAAGGACTAAGTTGGATGAATGAAACAAAGACTGACATTTAAAATTGAGGATTTCAGAATATCTAGGTCAAAAAAATGGTTTAAATATTTCATCGAAAGAGAAAAAAAAATTGCCTGCCAAGGAACCAAAATTAAATTAGTATCAATAATTTTATCTGCCATTATGGTTTCTAAATATTAATGATGGAGTCCATCAAAGCTCTATGAGGAAGGTAACTACTAACCTATAATTCTACACCCAGCCAAAATACCAGTACATGTGAGGATAAGGTAGGAACATAAGGACTTTGTCAGAGATGAAAGAGCTCAGCAGTATTATTTCCTATAAAATTCACTCAATGGCATGCTTCCAGAGAAAACGATAATAAGGCATGCAAGTCAAAAAGAATGAACTAACACTAAAATCGAAGAAAAGAGAGAGAAGTCTGTGGATAATGGCTACATAATGACCAAAAAAAATAAAATAAAATAAACTCCCCAAATTTGAGGAGTAAGTCACAGATTTCCAACAAGGTAAGATGTTAACATATTTTGGTAATAGTAGGGTAACACTTTACTCTGTTTCTCTGAATTAAGTAATATTTAACTCGTAAGACATCCCCCTGGTATATTGTCTCTGAAATGACTTTGCTTCCTAATTTTAACATTATAAGGCTTGTGCTTCACCATTATAAAACACTTTACATGTCATTTTAATACTGGCAGTGAAATATTTACTCAACTTAGTAAACACATTGCTTGTTTCAGATATAATATTAGATTATTTAAAAGGAACAATTTGCTTTTACAAGTAAGTTCTTGCAAAACTGAAAAAAATATTAATACTGAAATCTCCAAGAAGTAGTACGAATAGCAAAGAAAGTGAGGGGTTGTTGATTAAATGATATGTCTGTTACATCTCATTAATTCCAGAAAACATTTCCCAATTTTTTACTAATTAGAAAGCAATTGAAATCTGGGTATTTGAAGAAATATGCCACAGTGTATTGGGTGAATTTAGTTTGAGTTAAAATAACAAATTGAAGTTTTATTTACAGAGAGTTAAAAAGGTGAAATCACCAGGATACATTTACAGCCAGCCCAGCTGACACACAGGAAAAGATAAAACATCACTTTGTCACCAATCTTCATGGCTTCCACTTGAGTGATGTTTAGAGAAAGAAAGGGCTCAATGTATATAATTACTTGATTATATCACAGTGCTGTGCAGAAATTCTGATATAAAGAAAACAGTTTTAAATTACTTTCTCTGGACATATTCAGTTAGTCCTTGTATCCCTCTGTCTTCCCACCACCAAAGACCTATACATTTTATTACATGCAATTTTAAAGCACATTTAAATCAAAATTGATTCTCAATTTCACATTAGATCTGTAAAACCATACATTAGCTGAGAGCAATAATTGCATATTTCATAAATTCATAGGCAGCCACGTAAATTAATATAAACAAAAAGCTTTCTGGTTTAAAAGAGATCCAGTATATTCTTCAGACTACTGATGATTGCTAACATTTAGTACATCAGAAACAGAGTCATGAAATTGTATTGATATTAAACTATGAGTTGTGTTAAGTCTGTTTGGAGGCCTTGCAGGGCTGCCTCTGTAGATTAATAATGTAAGATCATGGATGCCCCCAAAAGTAAACTAGGTACGTATGATAGTGCTCCAGGGACTGGGGCTCAGTCATCTTTTCCAACATCAACTCCATTGGTAATAAAGTTTTAGATGATTAACAGAATCAATATAGTACAGAAGAATAAATATTTTTGAACTATGATTTATCTCAAAACAAAAAGCCTATGAGGTAATCAGAATAGAAGAGAGTTGATGGTGTTACACTCAAGGCTCAGGAAACTCAATGTATACACAGTGAACTTAGTGCAGCCAGTTCAAAACTTGTCTCTCTTCTCACCCTACCTCTATGAAGGAGGACTGTTGCTTATTGATTAATCAAAATAATAAACATTTATTGGGATGAATTAGGATCGGATTTAGTGGGAACAGAAGAAAATGTATTAAGGGAAATGTCCCCTCTATCTCTTTTTATATGAATTTCCTTTCATAGGTCTTGAGGGGAAAGATAGCGTAGCAGAATGCTTAGCCCTTGAAATTGAAGGACAGTGTGTGAGAGGCCTGAGGTCATCCATCTTCCCTTTCTCCGGCTTCCTCTTGACTCTTTTTCCTTTGTGTGAGGCTTTTTTTCTCAAGCTGAGTGGATTAAGCCATGAGCAATCTAGTCCAACTCTTTTTGAGACAGAGAGGAAATCTCTATTCTTTTCACCTGGTATGACCTAGCCTGGCCATTCTTTATTACTAAAGTCATAAGACCTGAGATACGATGTGAAAGAGAGTGCTTTGACTGATATGGCTATAAATCTAAGCAAATTAGTTTTCTACATGTTCCTACTTAGCTGAGCAAGAGACTGCATTGGGGTTTGGGGCCAAAATGCTAGCTAGTAATGAGTGTTCCTTTGCCTGACCTTGTCCTGTATTCATGTATTTCCCTTCACAAACTGAGAAACAGAAAGAAAGAAAAGAGGTGGTAAAAGATAGAGCAATATTCATTCACAGCTTGATATCTCTGCTTCTGTAATTAAATAGGTATTGGAACTGCCTTGGAAGTTAGAGTGGAGTGAATTTTTGCTTTGTTTTTCTTTTTTTCCATAACACATTTCTATATTAGAATTTTAGGCAACCATAGCAAATATAATAATTTAAATACTGCCTCTCAAATTTTGTATTTTCCTAGACCTGGGATTACTTTGAAAACAAAGATATTTTTATAAATTTATAATATAGAAAGGTTAACAATGTTACATTCAAAATCCAAGGAAATTAAACTACATGTGGACACAAAAATAGAACTCTGTGGGATTAATGATAAATTGACTTTGTAGGATATTTGAAAGCAAAGACTTGAGTCTCTTGGGAAAGAAAACTTCTGAGAGCTCTTCTCCAACATATTTTGAGGTGGAAATACACACAACACTTGACATGTTAGAAAGCCTCATCCTTAACCACTGGCCAGTCAAAAGCAAGGAAGAATTGCAATACCAATTATGACGGAAAACTAACGCTGATTCATTTGTGGGAAAAAGCAGCTACAAAAACAAATTTTACAGAGTTTAAGTCTTACTTAAAACATATTTGTCTCAAAGAATGAGCTTTAAACTATGTCAATATTATCAATCATGAAAATCCATTATTAACATTTTTAATCATAGTGTATTTACTTTGAAATAGTTTATCATTTGCCCTTTCATTTTACTCAGTCACCTTCTTAAAAAGATCTTTAGTTTCCCAACACCTTGGGTATTAATTTCTTCCAAACATAAAGTACACACCCATGGATTTGGAAGTTACATTGCAATTTTATGGAATGCCTTAGTCCAAGAGTTATATCTGAGAGTTCTTTTTGCCAATATTGAGAAAATTAAAAATTATTACCATGTACTGCCATTCTTTAGTTGACAAATGAAGGAGTAAAGATTCTGTATGGAAAGAATCAAGAAATTTAAGTTATTTATTGTTGATATGTCTTTCATGGCTTTAAAATCATGTTTTTTAATTAGGGTAGAGAAAGTTTCCATTGAAAACAGAGATCACATAAAGTGGAAAAATTAACTACTAATGGTTCTCATTTAAAGGTCCTCCAGTAAGGATCTCATTAAAAGCTGAGTTTGTGTCCATTTTCAAATACCTCACTGTCTAAAATCTAATGGATGCATGTTCACGTTAAGACCTGTACACCAATGTTCATGCAGCTTTATTCATGTTAGCCCCAAACTAGGATCAACTCAAATATCTATCAACTGGTAAACAGACAACAAAAATGTGACACTCATATGCAAGAGTACTACTTGACAGTAAAAAGGAATTAACCATGGTTTTGCCTTGATGCAGATGGATCCAAAACATTTCCTTAAGTGAAAAGAGTTAGACACAAAAGAGTTTATACTGTATCATTCAATTTACACCACACTGGGGGAAAGGAAAACTAGAGAGATAGGAAGTAGATCAGTAGTTGCCAGGGATAAGGGATGGGAAAAGGGACAAACTGCTGAAGGACAAAAAGGAACTTTGTCTGGTGTTGGAAATGTTTTATGTCATAATAGTGGTTATTACATAATTCTGTACACTTACCAGAAATCTTTGAGCTGTACACTTAAATTATGTCAATTTTGTTGTGTTAAACTACATTTCAATAATTTTTTTAAAAATTGGTATATTTCATACAAGGAGATAATAGCCTAAATGAGATAGCATTCAAAATGAGGTAAAAATTAATAGCAAATGTGTAATTCAGCTCCTAAGAGTAGCTTACCTTAAAAGTCAAATAGATCAGTTAAAATGTCAGTTTTACCAAATCCAAGCTATGCCAAAGGAGGCTAACAATAGTACCTAATTTTTAGGAATTTTGTAAAAATTAAAGGAGATGATATATTAAATGTTTAGTCAAATACCTGACACATAACAAGGACTCAAAAACTACTACTTTATTATCACCAAGGCAAATTATTTAAGCAACTGTTTGCCCTGTTAGTATCTTCTCAATTAGGCTTTCTAATATTTTATGTTAGTTTCAACTGCTGCCTCTCACCCAAATACCTAATTTATCCAAAAGGTCTTGCTTTCTAAATATGTATTATCATTTATTCATTCCTTTATTCAATAATACCTATCAATCACTTTCCATGGCCAAGCACTCTGTTGAGTACTTGAGGTGAGGTAAGTTATTAAACCAATCATGCGTGATTTCCTACACTCATGCAAAGGTGGGCATTAAATAAGCATACAATTAAATATAAATTCAAATTATAAAGCATGCCACAAATTAGAAGATTATGGTAATGTGCTAGATAATCACAGATGGAGGTAATTTCAATGAGGGATCCATGGAAGTCTTTTTTAAGAAAAGGACATTTCAGTTGAAACTAAAAGATACGTCTGACAAAAACATCCCCTGTTGAGAGAATAGCAAAGATTTGGCAGTGTAAAAAAGTTTGTTGATCCTGAGAAACTAGAACACAAAACAAAATACTACTGTGTCTGGTGGGTAATGAGAAAGGAGCAGCAGGAGGTGAGCTTGGAGAGGTGGACACAAGCAGATGATGGAAAGCTTGTGGGCCATGTTAAGACTGTCCTATTTGACATAATAGTCTCTAATATTTTGATATCAATAATAATATCAAGTGATTCTATGCACCAAACAGTATTTCAAGTGCTCTATATGAGCTATTTCATTTAGTCCTACAACAACCCCATATGGGTAGATATTTATTAACAGGTCATTTTATAGCACAGCCTACTGAGTTTATAATCTTAAAAAATCAAAGAATCCAAAGAGCAAAACGAAGACAGGAACCTCTAGCTTCAGAGCCCACCCACTTAAACCCTGTGCTTTGTGCCTTCTCTCTATGTTACACTGTCATTCGGTTTAAGACTAAGGGATGCAATAACAGGATGAAGTTTATGTACTTAAAAGGTCACCTCAAAAAGGAGGAGCCAAGATGGCCGAATAGGAACAGCTCCTGTCTACAGCTCCCAGCGTGAGCAACGCAGAAGACTGGTGATTTCTGCATTTCCATCTGAGGTACCAGGTTCATCTCACTAGGGAGTGCCAGATAGTGGGCGCAGGTCAGTGGGTGCGTGCACCGTTCGTGAGCCGAAGCAGGGTGAGGCATTGCCTCACTCGGGAAGTGCAAGGGGTCAGGGAGTTCCCTTTCCTAGTCAAACAAAGGGGTGACAGACGGCACCTGGAAAATCGGGTCACTCCCACCCAGAGACTGCACTTTTCCCACGGGCTTAAAAAATGGCGCACCAGGAAATTAGATTATATCCGGCACCTGGCTCAAGGGTCCTACGCCCACGGAGTCTCCCTGATTGCTAGCACAGCAGTCTGAGATCAAACTGCAAGTCGGCAGTGAGGCTGGGGAAGGGGCGCCCGCCAGTTGCCCAGGCTTGCTTAGGTAAACAAAGCAGCCAGGAAGCTCCAACTGGGTGGAGCCCACCACAGCTCAAGGAGGCCTGCCTGCCTCTGTAGGCTCCACCTCTGAGGGCAGGGCACAGACAAACAAAAAGACAGCAGTGACCTCTGCAGACTTAAATGTCCCTGTCTGACAGCTTTGAAGAGAGCAGTGGTTCTCCCAGCACGCAGCTGGAGATCTGAGAATGGGCAGACTGCCTCCTCAAGTGGGGCCCTGACCCCTGACCCCTGAGCAGCCTAACTCGGAGGCACCCCCCAGCAGGGGCACACTGACACCTCACACGGCAGGGTATTCCAACAGACCTGCAGCTGAGGGTCCTGTCTGTTAGAAGGAAAACTAACAAACAGAAAGGACATCCACACCAAAAACCCATCTGTACATCACCACCATCAAAGACCAAAAGTAGATAAAACCACAAAGATGGGGAAAAAACAGAGTAGAAAAACTGGAAACGCTAAAAAGCAAAGCGCCTCTCCTCCTCCAAAGGAACGCAGTTCCTCACCAGCAACAGAGCAAAGCTGGACAGAGAATGACTTTGACCAGCTGAGAGAAGAAGGCTTCAAACGATCAAATTACTCCAAGCTATGGGAGGAAATTCAAACCAAAGGCAAAGAAGTTGAAAACTTTGAAAAAAGTTTAGAAGAATGTATAACTAGAATAATCAATACAGAGAAGTGCTTAAAGGAGCTGATGGAGCTGAAAACCAAGGCTCAAGAACTACGTGAAGAATGCAGAAGCCTCAGGAGCCAATGCGATCAATTGGAAGAAAGGGTATCAGCGATGGAAGATGAAATGAATGAAATGAAGAGAGAAGGGAAGTTTAGAGAAAAAAGAATAAGAAGAAACGAACAAAGCCTCCAAGAAATATGGGACTATGTGAAAAGACCAAATCTACGTCTGATTGGTGTACCTGAAAGTGACGGGGAGAATGGAACCAAGTTGGAAAACACTCTGCAGGATATTATCCAGGAGAACTTCCCCAATCTAGCAAGGCAGGCCAACATTCAGATTCAGGAAATACAGAGAATGCCACAAAGATACTCCTCGAGAAGAGCAACTCCAAGACACATAATTGTCAGATTCACCAAAGTTGAAATGAAGGAAAAAATGTTAAGGGCAGCCAGAGAGAAAGGTCGGGTTACCCTCAAAGGGAAGCCCATCAGACTAACAGCGGATCTCTCGGCAGAAACTCTACAAGCCAAAAGAGAGTGGGGGCCAATATTCAACATTCTTAAAGAAAAGAATTTTCAACCCAGAATTTCATATCCAGCCAAACTAAGCTTCATAAGTGAAGGAGAAATAAAATACTTTACAGAAAAGCAAATGCTGAGAGATTTTGTCACCACCAGGCCTGCCCTAAAAGAGCTCCTGAAGGAAGCACTAAACATGGTAAGGAACAACCGGTACCAACCGCTGCAAAATCATGCCAAAATGTAAAGACCATCAACACTAGGAAGAAACTGCATCAACTAACGAGCAAAATAACCAACTAACATCATAATGACAGGATCAAATTCACACATAACAATATTGACTTTAAATGTAAATGGACTAAATGCTCCAATTAAAAGACAAAGACTGGCAAATTGGATAAAGAGTCAAGACCCATCAGTGTGCTGTATTCAGGAAACCCATCTCACATGCAGAGACACACATAGGCTCAAAATAAAAGGATGGAGGAAGATCTACCAAGCCAATGGAAAACAAAAAAAGGCAGGGGTTGCAATCCTAGTCTCTGATAAAACAGACTTTAAACCAACAAAGATCAAAAGAGAAAAAGAAGGCCATTACATCATGGTAAAGGGATCAATTCAACAAGAAGAGCTAACTATCCTAAATGTATATGCACCCAATACAGGAGCACCCAGATTCATAAAGCAAATCCTGAGTGACCTACAAAGAGACTTAGACTCCCACACAATAATAATGGGAGACTTTAACACCCCACTGTCAACATTAGACAGATCAATGAGACAGAAAGTCAACAAGGATACCCAGGAATTGAACTCAGCTCTGCACCAAGCAGACCTAATAGACATCTACAGAACTCTCCACCCTGAATCAACAGAATATACATTTTTTTCAGCACCACACCACACCTATTCCAAAATTGACCACATAGTTGGAAGTAAAGCACTCCTCAGCAAATGTAAAAGAACAGAAATTATAACAAACTGTCTCTCACACCACAGTGCAATCAAACTAGAACTCAGGATTAAGAAGCTCACTCAAAACCGCTCAACTACATGGAAACTGAACAACCTGCTCCTGAATGACTACTGGGTACATAATGAAATGAAGGCAGAAATAAAGATGTTCTTTGAAACCAACGAGAACAAAGACACAACATACCAGAATCTCTGGGACACATTCAAAGCAGTGTGTAGAGGGAAATTTATAGCACTGAATGCCCACAAGAGAAAGCAGGAAAGATCCAAAATTGACACCCTAACATCACAATTAAAAGAACTAGAAAAGCAAGAGCAAACACATTCAAAAGCTAGCAGAAGGCAAGAAATAACTAAAATCAGAGCAGAACTGAAGGAAATAGAGACATAAAAAACCCTTCAAAAAATTAATGAATCCAGGACCTGGATTTTTGAAAGGATCAACAAAATTGATAGACCGCTAGCAAGACTAATAAAGAAAAAAAGAGAGAAGAATCAAATAGACGCAATAAAAAATGATAAAGGGGATATCACCACCGATCCCACAGAAATACAAACTACCATCAGAGAATACTACAAACACCTCTACGCAAATAAACTAGAAAATCTAGAAGAAATGGATAAATTCCTGGACACATACACTCTCCCAAGACTAAACCAGGAAGAAGTTGAATCTCTGAATAGACCAATAACAGGAGCTGAAATTGTGGCAATAATCAATAGCTTACCAACCAAAAAGAGTCCAGGACCAGATGGAATCACAGCCGAATTCTACCAGAGGTACAAGGAGGAACTGGTACCATTCCTTCTGAAACTATTCCAATCAATAGAAAAAGAGGGAATCCTCCCTAACTCATTTTATGAGGCCAGCATCATTCTGATACCAAAGCCGGGCAGAGACACAACAAAAGAAGAGAATTTTAGACCAATATCCTTGATGAACATTGATGCAAAAATCCTCAGTAAAATACTGGCAAACTGAATGCAGCAGCACATCAAAAAGCTTATCCACCATGATCAAGTGGGCTTCATCCCTGGGATGCAAGGCTGGTTCAATATACGCAAATCAGTAAATGTAATCCAGCATATAAACAGAACGAAAGACAAAAACCACATGATTATCTCAATAGATGCAGAAAAGTCCTTTGACAAAATTCAACAACGCTTCATGCTAAAAACTCTCAATAAATTAGGTATTGATGGGAGGTATCTCAAAATAATAAGAGCTATCTATGACAAACCCACAGCCAATATCATACTGAATGGGCAAAAACTGGAAGCGTTCCCTGTGAAAACTGGCACAAGACAGGGATGCCCTCTCTCACTACTCCCATTCAACATAGTGTTGGAAGTTCTGGCCAGGGCAATTAGGCAGGAGAAGGAAATAAAGGGTATTCAGTTAGGAAAAGAGGAAGTCAAATTGTCCCTGTTTGCAGACAACATGATTGTATATCTAGAAAACCCCATTGTCTCAGCCCAAAATCTCCTTAAGCTGACAAGCAACTTCAGCAAAATCTCGGGATACAAAATCAATGTACAAAAATCACAAGCATTCTTATACACCAACAACAGACAAACAGAGAGCCAAATCATGAGTGAACTCCCATTCACAATTGCTTCAAAGAGAATAAAATACCTAGGAATCCAAATTACAAGGGACGTGAAGGACTTCTTTAAGGAGAACTACAAACCACTGCTCAATGAAATAAAAGAGGATACAAACAAATGGAAGAACATTCCATGTTCATGGGTAGGAAGAATCAATATCGTGAAAATGGCCATACTGCCCAAGGTAATTTACAGGTTCAATGCCATCCCCATCAAGCTACCAATGACTTTCTTCACAGAATTGGAAAAAACTACTTTAAAGTTCATATGGAACCAAAAAAGAGCCCGCATCGTCAAGTCAATCCTAAGCCAAAAGAACAAAGCTGGAGGCATCACACTACCTGACTTCAAACTATACTACAAGGCTACAGTAACCAAAACAGCATGGTACTGGTACCAAAACAGAGATATAGATCAATGGAACAGAACAGAGCCCTCAGAAATAACGCCGCATATCTACAACTA
This sequence comes from Homo sapiens, assembly GCF_000001405.40. Lineage (NCBI taxonomy): Eukaryota > Metazoa > Chordata > Mammalia > Primates > Hominidae > Homo > Homo sapiens. The sequence goes on along the minus strand of NC_000005.10, from coordinate 117,339,556 downwards.
TCTGATCTTTGACAAACCTGAGAAAAACAAGCAATGGGGAAAGGATTCCCTATTTAATAAATGGTGCTGGGAAAACTGGCTAGCCATATGTAGAAAGCTGAAACTGGATCCCTTCCTTACACCTTATACAAAAATCAATTCAAGATGGATTAAAGACCTAAATGTTAGACCTAAAACCATAAAAACCCTAGAAGAAAACCTATGCATTACCATTCAGGACATAGGCATGGGCAAGGACTTCATGTCTAAAACACCAAAAGCAATGGCAATAAAAGCCAAAATTGACAAATGGGGTCTAATTAAACTAAAGAGCTTCTGCACAGCAAAAGAAACTACCATCAGAGTAAACAGGCAACCTACAAAATGGGAGAAAATTTTTGCAACCTACTCATCTGACAAAGGGCTAATATCCAGAATCTACAAAGAACTCAAACAAATTTACAAGAAAAAAACAAACAACCCCATCAAAAAGTGGGCAAAGGACATGAGCAGACACTTCTCAAAAGAAGACATTTATGCAGCCAAAAAACACATGAAAAAATGTTCACCATCACTGGCCATCAGAGAAATGCAAATCAAAACCGCAATGAGATACCATCTCACACCAGTTAGAATGGCAATCATTAAAAAGCCAGGAAACAACAGGTGCTGGAGAGGATGTGGAGAAATAGGAACACTTTTACACTGTTGGTGGGAATGTAAACTACTCAACCATTGTGGAAGTCAGTGTGGCGATTCCTCAGGGATCTAGAACTAGAAATACCATTTGACCCAGCCATCCCATTACTGGGTATATACCCAAAGGACTATAAATCATGCTGCTATAAAGACACATGCACACGTATGTTTATTGAGGCAGTATTCACAATAGCAAAGACTTGGAACCAACCCAAATGTCCAACAATGATAGACTGGATTAAGAAAATGTGGCACATATACACCATGGAATACTATGCAGCCATAAAAAATGATGAGTTCATGTCCTTTGTAGGGACATGGATGAAATTGGAAATCATCATTCTCAGTAAACTATCACAAGAACAAAAAACCAAACTCCTCATATTCTCACTCATAGGTGGGAATTGAAAATGAGAACACATGGACACAGGAAGGGGAGCATCACACTCTGGGGACTGTTGTGGGGTGGAGGGCGGGGGGAGGGATAGCACTGGGAGATACACCTAATGCTAGATAATGAGTTAGTGGGTGCAGCACACCAGCATGGCGCATGTATACGTATGTAACTAACCAGCACATTGTGCACATGTAGCCTAAAACTTAAAGTGTAATAATAATAAATAAAATAAAAAATAAAAAAAAGAAAATGTAAACAAATAAAAATAAAAAAATTTGACAGATTAAAAAAAAAGGTCACCTCTTCTGATGTGGGAAGAATGGATTATAGAGGAACAAGATGAATGCAAGAAAAATAGGAAATAATTGCAGTAATCAAGGCGGACTTCATGGGTGTATAACCTGCACGTTGCACAGGACTCTTATGTTTTGAAGGGCACAGTTCTTGATTTGATTCTGCTACAACTGTCTTGAAATTCTAAATAATTTTTGAAAAAGTTATTTGCATTTTGTACTGTTCCCCCAAATTATGCAGCTAGCCTTGGCAGTATTTCATGCAAACATTCTAATGACTTGGATTTTTAGATTAATTCACTCATTTCTGATGACTGGAACTCTGCATCTCCCTTACCAATATCCTTCCTTGAGGGCAGAAGGGAATTGCCATTTATTAAGCATTGAGCTAGGCAAAATCCTAGAGCTTTACATACATAATTCAATTAATCCTTATAAAGGAGATTCTATTATCAGCATTTTGTTAGATGAGAGAATGATTGCTCAACGAGGTAAGTAGTTTGGCATAACTAAGTTCTAACTCCAAACACATTCTTCTAAACCAAATATTGCCTCTGAGGCTCTGGTTTTATTGCCCACCCTAGAACCCTATTGCCATGCTCTGCCCATTGATAGGGGCACCTCATTGCTTCCTGGAGCCCTGTCCAAACAAACGCCTAGCCAGGCCATTCACTGGAGATTGCCCTCCTAGATAAAACCCACTTTCACATCTTTCCCGTACTATGGACTGGGCTGGCAATACCTCAGGCCTAACTTTTACTAACTTAAAAAAAAATAAATTAGACATAGTACCATGAAAAATCTACAAAAATTTGCACTGTTTTCTTGAAACCCTGGAGTTTGTATTTTCATTGGATTCAGAGGTTGACACTACCTTAAGTCTGTTGACAACTATATGGTCTTTTTTTTTATGTAGCTTGTCTGATCATTCAGAGTGTGCGGATGTTGCAATCCTGCTTTATTGAATCATAGTCTGTCTAAACTTCAGGGATTGGAGAGTTTACCCAGAGACAGGGTGATGCTTAATTTCCACACAAATTCTCATAAATATCTGACAAAAGTTTATGCATTTCAGAAGAATTGTCACAGTGGCAAGCAGAACAAGGGCTTAAAATCAAATTCAGCCATTGAAGGGAATTCTGAAAGTTTTACCATGTAATGTAAACATTTTTCTAAAATATAAAAGTAAAATAGATCTTATATTCTGCCCAAGTTTTAGAATACAGTCACCTACTAAAAACAATGCAAAGGAAAGAAAAAAGAAAACCAAAAACATTGTTACAATCATATTTTTAAAAGCAAATTTTAAGTATAATAAAATAAACAGTTTGATTTTCTTGAAAATTTTTTGTTAACCATAAAACATCAGAATCAGTGTGTTAGCTCTATTTACATAAGAACACAATTCAATATGTGTTCAAATTACTAATGAGAAGTTGATTCTCGTATCTCCATTTCCATTCCATTGCCTGTCTCAAAGAAAAAAACAGGAATTCTATTCCACTATTTTGAATACTGGGTAAGAATAAGGAAAAAAAAAAGTGGATCTTTTGCTGAGAAGAACTTAATGGCGCGACATTTCCCATTTACTGTATATTTATTTCTTAGGCAAAACACTCACTTGAATCACAATTTTCTATCCTCTTCGAAAGTCAAAGTCTCATTCTGACATAATACTGTGGTGATTTGTTCATTAGAAGCAAAAATCAGGTGTCTGATAAGGACATCATACTGTCTCATTCACACTGCACACTAACCCTTCTGCACTGCTCACAATGGAATTCAACTTGACACTTTTCATCTACATAAAGTTGACAGTTTCAGCCTGTTGGAAAGTTTTCTGGAAATTCAAGTTCTAACATAGACATAAATGCCACCTCAATGATCTCCCCAGTACGTTAAGTGGAACGCTTCACCTAAATAAAGGGTGCCTTCTTCATGGTTTATTTAACAATTAACACAGAGTAAAGGAGACTTTTCTTCTAGACTAACATCCTTTATTAGTCATCAGGTTTTGTTTTGCCTTTTCCTGTCTGCCATAGCCATTTCCTGGGTGAATGGAAGATTCTCTTATTTATGTTTGTATTTCTGAAGTAGTCTCAAGATAGTATATTATATAAACCGGTATGAGGATCAATTGGCATCCCATTTACTAACTACTGAGCCAAATTGAAAAAAAAAAACCCCACCAAATTGAGATTACTGAAAGGTGAAGAGGTTATAAGAAGGTCTGGAACCTGTACTTGGTACAATAGAAGATTTACTTAGAAAATATTAGAGTTGACAAACCACATTATTTGCTCTATAAATTGTAAATCCTCTAGAAATGAGAACTCTTAGTCATTAACTAAAAGTGAACAGCTTTTGAAGGATCAATCAAGAACTAGTATTAAAAATCTATTTATAGCTTAGAACTAGGGTGATGACATCATTTATCCTCTACATAAAGACACCTTTAAAGTAAAAATGAGAGTTAATTACAGTAAGAGTGCGGGAATAAAACAAGATTGTCAGGGGCAAACCAGAAATATACACTTTGATGGTAGATGTTGTTTGCCCTCAGTGCATACCCAATTTAATGCAGCCCACTTGAGAACTAATAAACATAGAGGATGTGCAAACAGGACACTGGACAATTTAAATCAATTAAGTAGATAATTGTATATAAGCAATGCATGAATTTTAGTCTTAGAAATAGAATTGTGAGCTACAGTTCTGATTAGAACAAAAAGTACCATTAAGTATGTAGTCTTTAGCTAAAACAAAGAAGGACCAAAAAGGACCAGAATAGAAAAGAATAGGAACCATGACATGTGAGAAACATTTGAAATACCTGAGGTGGTTTACCCAGGAAAGAGAAGATTTAGCAGTAGGTCATGAAAACTATTTGTAAATCCTTTCAGGACTGTCATGGACAAGAGGGTTATACTTATTTCCTGTGCCTCAGAGGTCAGAGCTAGGATTAAAGGCTGAAAGGAAGAGGAAAACAGATCTTTTAGCTCAACAAAAAATCATTTTTGAACAATGGAGAGTGCATAACAATAGGCTGTCACATGAGTTAGTGAGTTTCCCAACACTAGAAGTACACAATTTGAATCTGGGCAATCTTTTTTTCTTTGGTTTGCTTATGGAACATGCAGTATATTCCACACACTAAATGGTTAACACAAAAAATCCCATCTAAAAATCACAACAATCCTATATGGTGGTTACTAGTATTATCATGCCCATTTTATAAATGAGAAAACCAAACCATGTCCAAGAGCATAAACCTAGGTACAGATAACACAGGGTGGAGCAAAGGTGATTTCTAAATTTCTCTCTGTAGTCGAGGTAACTTTCAAAACATGGCTTAAATTGTCTTAAACAATAAGACAATTATCTCAAATAGGAAGTCCAAAGACAGGATGACTGCAGTCATATTGCTTAGGTTTTCTGCTTTTATCTTGGTTTTGACCTTTTCCCTGTGCTGGCTTCATCCACAGGATTGTTGCAAGATACTGGCAATAATTTCAGTCATCACATCCAGAAATAAGAGCATACAAAAACAAATAAGATTTTACCTTGTAGTGTCTTCTTTTTAGGTGTGAGAACTACTTTCCCAGGAGCCCTCTAGCACAGGGGTCTCCAACCCCAGGGCCATGGACCAGTATCAGTCCGTGGCCTGTTGGGAACTGGGTCTCACAGCAGGAGGTGAGTGGGTGAGTGAAACTTCATCTCTATTTACAGCCACTCCCCTTCTCTCACATTACCTCCTGAGCTCTGTGTCCTATCAGATCAACAGTGGCACTAGATTCTCACAGGAGCACAAACCCTACTGTGAACTGCACATGCGAGGGATCTAGGTTGTACACTCCTTATGAGAATCTAATGCCTGATGATCTGTCACTGTCTCCCATCGCCCCCAGATGGGACCATCTAGTTTGAGGAAAACAAGCTCTGGGTTCCCACTGTTTCTACGTTATGGTGAATTGTATAATTATTTCATTATATATTACAAGGTAATAATAATAGAAATAAAATGCACAATAAATGTCATGCACTTAAATTATCCTGACACCATTCCCTCACCCCTGGTTCAAGGAAAAATTGTCTTCCCATAAAACCTGTCCCTGGTGCCAAAAATCTTGCAGACCACTGCTCTAGCAGTTCTCCCTCAAATCTCATTAGTAAGAACTCTGTCATGATTGCCTCTAACCAATCACTGGCAGGGGAAATTGGAGAGACAAAGGCACAAATAGAACAGTTATTGCAGTCTTGCTACTCAAAGTGTGGTTCACAGAATAGCAGTACCTACAGCACCTGTCAGCTAGGTTAGAAATGCAATCCTAGTGCTCACTTCAGACCTACTGAATATAAAAATATGCATTTGGTGAGGTGATTTCTGTTTACATTGAAGTTTGTAAAGATCTTCCCTATGGTATCTGCTGCATTTCTGAGTCCTAAATTATGCAATGTTATTAAAATATCATATAAAGAAGTAAAACCACAATGATAGAAAAAAGTTTAAACTTGAGTTCTGGGTATGGATGATAGAATAAAAAAAATCTTCAGACCAGCCATATGCATTCTGAATGTCTCATATTTCCATGTTAATACATAATGTCACCATACCATTTACCAAAGGTTTACATGAAGACTATATGTTTGCACATGTGTCTGTGTGTGTGTATAACCACTTTATCAGTTCATGCTTCTGTGAACCAACAGAGTGCTTACTTTCATGTGTCATGCAATCACAAATATGTTTGGCAAGTCCATAGCCTCACTCATCTACACATATCAAATGCTTTATAGATAATTGAACTTTGGAGGCAAGGCAGTAGAAAATGTTGATTTGTAAATTTGTATTTGAGGTTAGCTTATTGGGATATTACCAAAATTTTGAGACAACTAATATGCAAAAGACAACATGGCTCTGCAGAGCCTTTTATGGGATGGCACAGTAATTAATTGGTTGCATCATGGCCAAAGGTTATTATCTGAGCAGCTGCTTCTTTAGAAAGCCTGCATGATCTGTAGCCAAAGGGTTATCATGAAAGAAAGAAAGAAAAAAGAAAAAAATTGTTTGCTTGTGGCAGCGCTGGCCCTTTTTAACTAGGAATTAATTTTCTGCCCCGAATGCCTTTCCTGTACAATCTTTTTGCGGTCTTTGCCAAGGAATAAGAGAAGCAGCTCAACCAGGTGGTTGAAATATTAATATAGAAAGTTATATATTATTTAAGATTTCCCTCTCACCCTAACTACTGAACATGATGGTTAACCCTATTGGAAGTGGAAACAAAATTCACACAATCCAGCCCCAAACTGAGGACTCTGGATTGCAGCAACAAGAGAAGAGCATCCTGTTCCTGTAGAGTGGAGGTTGAGTGGGATCTTCCCCTTCCTTTGTAAATAGTGACAGAAGATCAGATTTTCTGTTGTATTAGTCCAGGCACTCAAAGAAGCATATGCTGAGAAAGAAGTATATGTGCCAAGATTTTACATGTGAGAGAAAATGGGGAGGGTGTCTATTAGTCTGAGAAAGCAATCAGACCCAGTAACCGTTCTGACCCTTAGTACAGGAGAAAGGGAAAAATGTTGGGTAGAGCCATCTTGGATTTCTATGAGGTCTATGGAAGTATTGGCAAGGTTATCAAGGAGCCCTCAAGCCAAAATCAGCTGCCAGATGAGTCCTGTGACCCCCAAGAAAATGGTCTTATTAGGTATCCCTGCTATGTTTTGTCACCATCTGGGAACAGCCATAGGAAGTCTGCCCTTTGCCAAAACAAGAAAATGGGTTTCAGAGCACAGCAGCTGAGTTCTTGGTTAATTAAGGCCCCTGTGGTTGAAGGTCTAAGAGGGGCATTTTGAAGATAAGAAATTGGCAAACTATAACCAGTGGGCAGAATTCCTGTTTCTGTAAATAAAATATTATTGGACACAGGCACACCTATTCATTTACGTATTATCTATATCTACTTGCACACTACAATAGCAGAGTTAAGTAGTTGCAGAAGAACCTGTATGTCCCACAAGCTTATACTCTAGCCCTTTAAGAAGTTTGCATACACCTCTACACTGCAAGAGTTCACTCCTTGCACCTCCAAGATCTACTTCTCTGGGAAGATCTTCTCTACACAGCTTCAGAGAGCAACTCTTCTATATATTCCAATCAGCTTTTATTTGTAAGTTGAAATTCCCAAGTGGGAGGTGATCGATATAACCCCTGTCCCTCAGTTAATTCCGGGGCCACAGCTGGTACTTGTCCTTTTCCTCCTCCATTATCCATTCTAAATTCCTTTCTCCTTGGTAAATGATAGCTAAAAGGTGTGAACCCTTGATAATCACTCATTTCTCAATTTTGAGTTGCTGCAAACTGTAGTTTACGATTACAGTGGGGCAAAGGAGTATCAGAAGTTGCCCCAGTGGGTCACCTAGGCTCTACACATTTTCCGCCCTGCTCTCTTTAATAGTCTTACCTCCTCCTGCTGATAAGCATAAATTACCCTTACCAGTATAATGTCTTTTCTACTTACTTGCGGGTCTCTGAGCACAAGGATTCCAAGGTATACTGTGGTCATTGGGATCCTTGCTTTGTCCTCTGCCTTGAGAGTGTCCCGTTTTTTTTTTGAGACTGAGACCTTCATCTAAGTACAGAAGGGAAGAAAAAATTTTCATTCAGGATGATGGTAAATGACCGTAATAATGGTAAATAGGGCCTCTCCTGCTTCTAACCCTTGGTTTCTGTATCCATAGAGTCTACCTTTTTAAGGCTCAAAGAACCATAGTTGCCTCTGATTTAACAAATGCACCGCATCCTCTACAAGGCCGTCCCATGATTTCAGAGGCTTTTCTCTGGGATGGCACTTTAGAAGTGAGCTGTGTCTTTAGGAGGCCATGCCAGCATTCTATAAGGCTGGTTGTTTCTAGGAAGTGTAGTATGTGATACCTGCAGTAAATCCCAGCATAACGTCCCACTCCCAATCTCCTTTAGTGTGAAGTAGGTCCGCTAATTAGATGCCATACTGTGTGGGATTTCATACTTGTGTGAATTAGGATTACATAAACAATTAGACAGTGACGATAACTGAGATTATACAAACAAGTGAAGTAAATTCATGCCTGAAATAGGTAACTCTGTGAGTATAAATTCCTGACCCTTCTAGAAGGAGAGGCATTCCAAATGGTCAATTCTACTAAATGGCAAGCTGGTCTCCTTGAGGAATAGTGAATAGTGTTATATTGGAAGCTCAATTTTTTTATTATTAACATTTCAAGGCAGCAATAGCTAGATTAACCTTCATAAGTGGGAGGAAATACTTAATATCTTAATCTATGCCACTATAGCCACTCTATCTCTGTGTTTGTCATGCAGATTCTAGGGTATTCAATGAAAAAACTGGCTGTGTCAATTTTTCAATGCATCTACCATGGTAGATACTTTTTTGTGGTCAATGATATGTAATATAAACAATCTTCACATGTTGTGCCCACTTCTACATCTCTGTCCACATAACAGACCTGCTTATCTCTGATATTCTAGCCTTTTTAACTTCTGGGCTATTGAGCAGAAGACAAGGCCATTTACCACTTCCCAATAATCTATATATGTTTTTACCATATGTATGTATTAGGGTTCCTCAGGAAAACAAAACCAATAGGAGATTAGATAGATAGATAGAGTGATAAATAGGAAGAGACTTATTACAAAGGGTTGGCTCACATGATAGTGGAGGCTAAGGAGTCCCACGGTCTGTCAATAAGCTGGAGAACCAGGAAGGCCAGTAATGTAGTTCCACTCCAAACCCAAAGGCCTGGGAAACCACCAGTGTAAGTCTCAGTCATAGCCTTAAGGCCCAAGAACACCAATGTCCCAAAACAGGGGAAGATGGAAGTCGCAGCTCAAGCATAGAACAAATTTTCCCTTACTTCACCTTTCCGTTCTATTCCAGTCCTCAGCAAATTTGATGATAGTGACCCGCATTGGTAAGGGCAATCTTTTTACTGTCTATGAATTCAAACGTTCATCTCTTATGGAAATAAACTCACAGATATGCCAGAAATAATATTTAATCACCCATCTGGGCATGCCCTAGCCCAGACAAGTTAACACATTAAAATTAAATATCACAAGCCACTTGTCTTTGATACAAAGTACATAACTTGGTGCACTCCTCTTGGCACTACTCATGGGATGATTTTTTTTCTCCCCACTGTCTCTCAGGATCACCCCTGAAAGTGGCTCCACTGCAGCCAACATCCAGTTCTGGCTTGCATCCAGGAACTCACTTATCCATCCATAAATCAAGTTCAGGCTTTTTCCCTTCCCTTAGAGTTGGTTATACTGGATCTCCCATATTGATATAGGTGCAAGTCAGGGGAACAGAACTGGCAATATGTGACATAAAAATCTACTAATGCCCTCTGGTCCTGCTTAGACTCGATCTTAGATGTACTATGTTCATCTTACAATGAACGGATGTTGTCCCCACCAATTTTATGATGTAGTGGGCCCAAAAGAATCCAGATGATAATAGAAAGTTACAGATGCATGGTCACTTTATGTCCAGGATTAAGCCACCCCCATTAGGGCTCAGCAAAGCTAAGTGCTCTTTCTGAGAGGGCATGTAATTATTTGCTTTGAATGGCATGGTTTTGCTCCAGAATCCTAGGGACTACTCTGTGACTCTCTCACTTGGTGTTGCCACACGCTCCACACTGCATCTTTTCCCACCAGTAACACTTGTAACATCACAGCACTTGACGAATTGCTTAGGCTAGATGACAAGGCAGCTTGCACTACTGCCTAAAATTACTGCAGTAGCCTTTCCCACTCCAGGTTCTATTTAAGTGGGTAGCCTCTGCGTCACTTGCTATATGTGCCTCCAGCCTCCAAAGAGTACGCCAGGCACCATAGATGGCCTCTTTCATGGTGGTAGTGTATGCAAAATGCAGAAAGGTGTCTTACTTTGGAGAGAATATTCAAGCATACTCTTGGCCACCAACTAATAAATCTCACTGATGTGACTATTCCCTAAATTTTCACAGGATTTAACTTTCATGCTTTGGAATACCTGTGTTTTACCAATGCTTCCAGTTAACTAGTCACTTCTTGCTCATTGTGTCCAATCAGCATGATATCATTAATGTAATAGATCAGTACCATTTTTGGTAGAATGCTTATGCAGTCCAGATCTCTTGGAACTATGTTGTGACAAAGGGCCAGAGTGTTAAGAAGGCCCTGAGATAACACTGTCACTAAATATTGCTGTTTGTTTCATATGAATACAAACTGTTTTGGATCCTCTTTTAATTGGAAGAGAAAATAACATACACCAAATCAGTAGTGGCGTAGTCTGTACCCAAGGTATTATTAATCTGTTCAAGGAGTAATACCACATCTGACCTAGTAGCTGTGACAGGGTGTACTCTTTGGGTAAGTCCATGGTAGTCTGAAATCATTCTCCAGTCTGACAAATTGCAAATGGGTCAGACTGGCTAATTAAGCAAAGATATTATAGAGACCACTGCTCTGCAAGGTTTAAGTCTTCATTCGTGGCATTAATCCCTGCCATCCCGCTGGGATTTCATAGGGTTTTCTATTTACTGTGTTGTCCTAGAAAGGCAGTTTCAGAAGTTTCCATTTGGTCGTCCTCGTCTAATGATAGTTCTTCCTCTATAGACCATGAATGAAACAATTAATCCAATTGCCAAATAGACTGATTTTAATTATGCATTTGGGGATTAGAGAGATGATGACTAGATGGATCTGGGACCCAGTGGACCCATTATGAACCAGGTTTTCATTTATTATCTGGACCTTATATACATCCACGCCAACACAGGAACCATGATGATGGTTGGGTCTATAGATTTCAATGCCAACTCTGAACCTGCTTCCCATAGTCCTAAAAGTGTCTGGGTTTAGACTCCTTTTCCCAGTTTGAGTTCACATGTATAAATGGCTGTAGATTCCCTTGAGAAAAATTAGGGATATAATTAGAGATACACTTGCAGTGATGTTGCAAAGTGTTTCTTCCCCAAAGTTTTCTAGATATAAAAATGGCCTCGGGTCTGAACACTTGAGAGAGGATCATGACTTTTTATTGAAGAACCACTCTTTAATTTTTGCTCCTACATTTATGCCTTCTTTTGTTATTTCATTGTCTATTAACATTTCACAGCTCCCAGCTGGTCAAGCCTTCTTGGTTACCAGTCATTACATTAATTGTGGCCTCTTAGCTTCTAGAAGTTAAATGCTGCCATAAGGTCATTCTTACATCTGATTATTCATTCTCCAACTCCATGAATAACGAGCACAGCTCTGGGACCACATCAGCCTTGATATACAGAGGAGAAGTACCATCATACTTCTTAGTAATGTTAGTGTTCTTCACACCAGCACATTACTGGTGGCCTTGGTGAATCATGTGTTCCTTGAGCCTTCTTGTGAAACATTATTCTGTGATGTATCTTCTGCATAATAAACCCATTCCAACATATTAACTTTACTCTGCCTTTTTAATCCCTCCTCTACCATCATCCAGGGAAACTCAGGCATGTCTATTTCCCTGAGTGTGAGTCACTGTTTATTCCAAGCTTCTAGGAACTAACCCAGTGGTTAATTTGCTCCATCCCCCAAGATTCTTGCTAGGACATTAAATACTGGTTCCCATTAGAGTGCCCCAAGCCAATAATTCTTATTCATCCAGACTTACAACCCTGTTCTTTGATTAGGCATACTCAAAATTTAATTCCAGTAATACTTTCCTGGTTCTTGCCAGTATATGCTAACTAGTTATTGCAGTTTCTCATTTGTATAAACACTTTCCCCCTTTTTCAGGCTCAGTAGATCCCTAGCCAGATTATGTTAGGATGTAACTCTAAGTCTTAGAATCAGGGAAGAATGTAGAAACAAATCCTGAGGAAATAGTTTTGGGAAAGAGACTTCCACTGCTTCTTCCAACAAAGCAGAAATACTAGCTAATACTACAGAAAAGTGCGCCACCTATGTGAGCCCAGATGGTAAAGGGGTCTACAGAGTCAACATCCTCCAGAACATTCATTCAGATTCTCTGCTTTCAAGATCCCAGATATTCCTCCACCGGAGTCTTGGTGGAGGAATATTTTCTACAATAATCCTGCCTTGGCTGAGTATTCTAATGTCTTAGAGCCCTATGACTCTCACAATTAGATTTTCAGCCTAAAGCCCAGTGTTATCTGCTCTTTCACTGTAGGTGGTAAAGGCCTATTTGTAAGATCCCATGAAGGCTTTCTGGCTCTTGCAATTAGCCATTGACTTCTTGCTAACACCACTGAGTCCTTCATTATCTGTCTGCCAGTTGTCAATAAAATTTAGTTTAGTAACCAGCCAACTTTGCTGCCTTTGTAGGAGTTGTTTCCTCCATATTTTTCAAATGCATTGTCACTTGTCACAGCATTCTCCACTGGGACATCATCAATGAGAAATTTTTATCAATTCAGCATGCCATTCCTCCATGCCCCATCTACTAATCAGGATCTCATCTTTTTTCAATTGCCAGTTGGCAGGTGAGCCAGTTTCACATCGCCATATTTACTATCTGTTTTTTCAGACCACTTGGTACCATTTGCATTGATCTCTATGAAAAAAAAATGGCCAAGAAGTGAGAATGACTGGAAGAAACATCAGATCATGATGTGTGACCCTAGGAAAAGGAGAAAGAAGGAAATGATTAATTAAAAAAAAATCTTGCCCATTGGTCAGTTTACGAAAAGTTTAGAAAGGCCATTTGGGAGGCCTTAAGCCAATGTCAGCTGTCAATAGACTCCTGTATCTCTCACTAATGAGCTTGTGTTTGTAGCCCTGGCGTACCCAATCCCTATCTGGGAGCAACCTCTGGTAAACATGCCCTTGGCCTCAACATGGGGAAAGATTTCAAAGTCTGTTCTTGGGGACAATGACAGCTTCACAGGCATGTGGCTTGTGCAGTTACAGAAGACCCCACACTTGTTTTAGTGCTCTGCTCTTATCTTGAGATTCTTTGTTATTTTATCTTTGAACTTGTATTTCACAAGTGAAATCCAATGGAACAATGGAGAGTGTGCACAAACAGAAGCATATGCAATATGTATGTCTGCCATTGCTTGCTGCCGCATTTACATATGGGGTTCATGATGCCCCATGAGCAAAAAATTCTGGTAGGTCCACAAGGTAAGGAAGTTCAAGTAAGACCCAAACCAGTGCAAAGTAATTTTATTATGTATACAACTGAGCAAGCAGAAGCACTGACAGTGAGTGGCCAAGATGCCACTAATCAGAATTTGCTTCAAACTGAGAAACAAGGGAAGGCATCCTAAGAAACATGAATGACCAAGGAATCATATCATAATTTTTGTTTCTACTCTATGTTAATCCATGACTTATGCTGAAAATGATAATGTAGAAATAGGAAGGTAGGGCAGCCTAGTTCCTTTTTCTTTTAGTCCTTCCTTACTCATCTATAAACTGAAGGTAGAAAATGTTAGTAGGATGCATGTGTATCAAGAGTGAAATAAAAACCTTTGAGTTGCTTTTGTGTAATTTGCGTCTTTCTGGTAAGATCAAAATACATACACATGTACAAATTACAAAATATGAATGAATGTAAGTTATCCTGCAAAAAAGTTAAATGCTCTTATATTTGCATTTAAAACAGGCATTGCACAGCATAAAGATGAACAGTGAAATTCAATAGTAATTGTAGATTTTAATTTTCCTTGACTTAGAACAACATTAAATATCAATTTCTTCAAAAATCATGAAGAAATCAAGACAGGGACTGCAGAAGAAAAAAAAAGAGGTAGATTTTATTACCTTTATTGACACTTTTTCTGCCTTTTGAACAAGGGCCTCATATTTTCATTTAAGTCCCTACAAATTATTTAGTTGGCCCTGCCGGGGATCCTTGGTGAATTATTCTCTCTATAGTTGAAGGGCTGTAGAGCATTGATATGGTTTGGCTGTGTACCCAGCCAAATCTCATCTTGAATTGTAGCTCCCACAATCCCACATGTTATGAGAGGGACCCAGTGGGAGGTAATTGAATAATAAGGGCAGGTCTTTCCCATGCTGTTCTCATAATAGGGAAGAAGTCTCATGAGATCTGATGGTTTTATAAGGGGGAGTTTCCCTGCACAGTTTCTCTCTTTGCCTGCTGCTATCCATGTAAGATGTGACTTGCTCTTCCTTACTTTCTGCCAGATTGTGAGGCCTCCCCTGCCATGTGGAACTGTGAGTCCATTAAATCTCTTTCCTTCATAAGTTACCCAGTCTCAGATATGTCTTTATTATCAGCAGGGGAACAAACTAATACAAGCATATTTTCATAACTCTCATATGGGTTTTGGTATACAGAAAATTCAGGATGCAAACCTAAGACATCTGAATTGTGATTATTTGTTCAATTCACCAACCCACATATCCTGTCAGTATAGATGCCCTGCCCCCCTTATTTTCTGTCAAGGCATGTTGAAAACTCCTGGAGAGATACTCTTTAACAATGTTCTATGTCCTAAACCAATGTAAATGACAGATAGTGATTATTATACATGTCAATCATACTTGGCAATCTGGTCCACTCTATCCCTCTATCAAAGCATGGCTCACTTGCTCAATAATTTATTTATTTTTCCTTAGAGTAGATATTAAGTGTTTGGGTTCTGTAGTCAGACTGCATCAGTTCCAATTCTGACTCCACAATATTGCCTGATGCATTGCCAAAGCTCTTTATCTATAAAATGGGCTAATATGAAGCCATCTTGGGGGAGGTATTTATCAAAGTGTGATGCATATATTTGTAGATTAGTATTATCTATTTTTACTCTTCCATCCAGGGGTCTTTGTAGCTAAACTTCTCCAGATATAAGCATTTGTTTCCCCAGCTCTAAGTCTATGAAAATTCACTTTTATGTTGAAAACCATCCCTTTTGGGAATCTGAGCCAATGATGTGTGAGAGACCTTCGACCATTTCCTGCTCAATTCAGCCTTTGCTTGACTTATCTGTTTTAAAATGGTTAATTCCCTTTAGTAAATAAAAAAGCATTTGTTACTTTTGTATGTAATCATAAGCATAAGCTGTCTATGACCTTTGTATTATAAGGAAAGAACCCTGTCTAGTTTTGTAAACCTAACACATTATACTACACATGTGTATTTTTCATCAAGGAAAGAAAATAAAATTACTTAATGGCTATTATAATAAAAATTATTATACAGATCCTTTATTATTAAACATAACAGCAGTTATTCTGTTTCCTTATGTGACAGAGTTCAATGTTAGAGGTATTATAGATTTTGTTTTAATATAGCATGCCTATATGTTAATAGGAGGGAAATAAGTATCATTCTTTTCTAGCTGACATTTGGAGCTTTAAAAATATAAGTTATCAGAGTTTTTTTTCTGATTTTCCAAAGGTTAAATTAAAACACCACTAAGTTGCTTGCCAATCTCTAGGACATGAAATCTGAACAGAACAAAACAAAACAGCAGGCCATGTTGCTTCACTTTTCTAGATTTTGCCATGAACCTGATAATAGTGCCTCTCTAGAAGTGCCTAGATTTCAGTGTGATTTAAGATCTTTTTAAAGTTTCAGTAAATCTTTGTAGGCTAGTACCTCCAATGATTCTTCCTCATTTCAGAGTTATCCCCAACTAAATTTACGCTGACCTGAAATTCTGTCAGAAAATAAAGGCAAGACAAAATCATGGTTTTGGGCAACTTAATCAAAGACCAAGGGTATTGCTAAAGGTTCTAGTGCATCTTCAAATCTGGGAAGGTCTCTGAATTAGCAATTCAGACCTACAGCAACTATTGGATAGTCTTACATTTGAACTAAAGATAAGATCCCTTTGAGATATTAAAATTCAGTTTTAATACCAATTATACCTTTGGAAAATACTTATCCTTATTATCCAGAAAAGGTTATGGCTTTGAGTAAGAGAAAATCTCTTGATTAACTAAGGTTTCAGTTCAGATAAAGCCTGTGTTTTGCCAACCACAAGGAGCTCTGCTCTTGAGGTAAAGAGCTTATTACGTCTGGCTCTGCTTTCTTCAGTAGAGGAAAATTTTTCCTTCATGCCTTTGTCCAGGCTCTTAGGAACTGGTATTTATTAGATTTCAATTTTTATTTGGTACGAAACTTCATACTTCATAAAATGCTTATCTCATTAATCATTATGTCACCTGCACCTAGTATGACAAATAATAAACATAACATAGATGCATTTTTCATGAATTAATGGGGAAATAGAGAAAATAAAGAATGAATGAATTGATGAATAAAAGATGTATTAATAAATGATAAAGGAATTACTCCTGCACCTGAACATTCAAACCCTTTTAATAACTATGTGATTTATTCTCTTACTTTTTCCATTTTTCACACCAAAATACATGCATATACATTCATGAAACCACAACTGTAATATTTGTAATATACGCTGCCTAATCTGTATTTTCCTTTTCAACACTGTTCAAGAACACACAGAGACAAGGCAAGAAAGGATTACAGTCTAATTGGCTGTGTTAATTAGATTAATTATAACTTTTAATTACATTTCTTTAATAAATTCAGAAAGTATTGAACATTTTCAAAAGAAAAACCCATCCAATAGCTTCCGCAATAACCAATTCCATAACTTCAACCAATTTTACACGGGGAGGGCGAGGACTGTATGTACATACCCACTAGAGTATATGGTAGAGGAATTGTGATTATTTTAACTGTCTTGGTCTGTTCAGGCTGCTATAATAAGGTAACCCATACTTGGGTGGCTTGTAAACAACAGGCATTTATTTCTCATAGAAATTTGGGTTCTGTTGAGGGCTAGCTTTCTGGATCTTTCTTATTGTGTCCCCACATGGTGGAAGGAGATAGGGGTATCTCTAGGGCCTCTTTTGTAAGGGCATTAATTCCACGTGTGTGGGCTCTACCCCAGCTATGGTTTGAATATTCATCCATTCCAAAAACTTATATTGAAATTCAATTGCCAATGTAACAGTATGAATAGGCAGGGCCTTTAAGAGGTGATAGGGCCATGAGGGCTTTGCCCTCATGTACGGATTAACCCATTTGTGGATTAATGGGTTCATTGGTTAATGGATTAACAAGGAATCATTAGAGTGGGACTAGTGGCTTTATAAAAAGAGAGAGATCTTCAGGTTAGCCTGCTCAGCCCCCTTGCCATATGATACCTTTCACTGCCTTGGGACTCTGTGGAAAGTCTCCACCAGCAAAAAAAACTCTCATCAGATATTCTGATGCAGCCTCTCAACCTTGGACTTCTTAGCATCTGTAACTAGAATAAATAAATTCCTTTTCTTTATAAATCACCCAGTTTCAAGTATTTTGTTAAGAGCCGCAGAAAATAAACTAAGAGAGCCCCCATGACCTAATCATCTCCCAAATGCCCCATCTCTAAATATTGTCACATTGGGGATTAGGATTTTAATATATACATTTGGAAGTGGTTGGTGAGGTGGCAGGGGGTGGGCAGGGAACAAACATTCAAAAAAATAGCAGGAACTTTAAAGGTAAGAGCATCAGAAGGTGAGAAGGTCTTCTTAGCAAAAGCCTAAAATGACATCTTAGTAGTTCACAATATTAGTGGACCAACTGGCTATGAAGAACAGTCAGTAAACAATTTAGAGCAAATTCTAAAATCTCTTCTTTTAAATATACAAATGAGTAATGTCTTATCTTTTTATTTTTCTTAATTTTTTAAAGTTTTCTTTATTTCTGTAAGACAGTATCTTGCTATGTTGAGTGCCAAAAAACTTTTAATATTGAAGGAAGCAATTATGTAACAATTAGTTGAAATTTTTCCTCTTTCTCATGACTTTTAAAGATCCATAAATTGTCTAAAAAGTGGTGGGACAAATCTTTAAATAGTAGATACAGAGATTTGCGCTGGTCACACAAATGAAATGTCTGAGAGAATACATTAAAATACAGGAGATTTTTTTAAATTTTGCTCTTCCAATAGAGCAATAAATAAAGCTAAACATCCTAGATTGTTCGTGGATCTTAATTAATTAATGAAAATTATTTTACATTGGGAAGATGCAATGCTTCTTAGAATTTTTCCCAATCTTGTTAATTATCTAACCTACTTTGGGTTATGTGTGAGTTTTCTTACTCATTGGTCACTTAGCTTTTAGGGAAATCATACGCCTTACAACATATCTTGTCTTTACTGATTCCTTGTCATTTTAATTTGTGTAAGTGGGCCATAGGCAATTAATTATTTTTGCAATTGACTCAACATTTGTTAAGTATCATTTGATATATTGTGACTTTTTAAAGAAAACAAAAATCAGATACAAAGCAGAAAAATAAATGGGCTTCATACTTAATTACAAGCTTAAAACATAGCAATCCAGACAAAAAAAATCCACATAGGGTTACTTTCCTGTATCAACTAGACAATTGCACATTGTGGCACTGCTTAGCAGTGTCGCTAGTACAGTCATGCAAATAAAGAAGGAAGTTAAAGCTCAAATTAGAACCCCAAAAGTTATCTAAAATACTAATTCCATAAAATAAGTTCTTTCCTCTCAAGAAAATCGCCATTTTTTTCTGTATCTCCCCTGACTAAATAAACTTGAATTAATCAAACAAGTATAAATATTCAGCACTCCAACAGAAAAATTCATGCTCATTTCACTATGAAGACTTACACACTGGAGTAGGTTTTCATCAGTTTGACATCATATGAGTTATACAATTCCTGTACTTCTTGATTCCTCAGATATGATAAATAGACCCAAAAGTTTCCTTTGAAACCTACGAGCAGTGATTTAATCAAATGTCCACAGAAATCGAAAGAATATTATGTGAATGTTTCATTTTATGCTTTCTAGAATTTGAATATTAAATATAGCCACCTAAAACACAATGCTGTATTTTTGTTCTTTCTTCCTGAGTTTGTTTTTAATAAATGAATAATTGTAGCTGTCTCTATATTTTGTGGAGCAATATATGTAACTACTTTAAAGACATGTTCCCGCCTTTCTAGAGCTCTCTTATGGACTAAATTCTATTCCCCCAAAATTCATATGTTGAAGTCCTGACACCCAAAGTGTTAGAAAGTGACTGTGTTTGGACACAAGGTCTTTAAAAAGGTAATGAAATTAAAATGAGGTCACTACAGTGGGCCCTAACTGAATTTGACTTGTGAAGATTAGACGTAGACAAATGCAGAGCGAAGACAATGTAAAGAGAGGGAGGTGAAGACGACCATTTACAAGCCAAGGAGGGAGGCCTCAGAAGAAATCAACCCTACTAACACACCTATCCTGGACTTCTAGCCTCCACAACTGTGAGAAATACATTTCTGTTAGGTCACCCAGTTTGTGGTACTTTGTTATGGCAGGCTTAGTAAATGAATACAAGTTCCTATCCTAACAACCTGCACGGGTAAGAATTAGAAGAAAATACAGAAACCAATAACAATTGTTTGATGTATACTAGATAGGCTTTTTGTTGAGAAAAAAAAATGTGTAGTTTGACTTTTCTAGGTACAGAAGAGTGCTATATGATCCTTTTTCACTTATTTTGAAAGGTAGAAATAAAGACATTTATTAGGGACCCACTGAAATACAGTGGAGAATCAATCCCAGGCAAGGACTTGGCACTTTGACAACCCAGTAATTCATGTATTGTAGCAGTATCACCATCAAGTGGTATCCCTGTAGGAGTCGACTAGAGCAAAATTCTTGTAAACCTCAATGTGGCATCCTGAGGGGCATTCGGGATAAAGATCAAAACTCTCCATGGACAGAAGAGCTTAGTCCATTTGATTTTGATTAATTTCCTTATATTTAAGGATAAAGGGTTTAAGATAACCTGGTGTTGTCAAAGTATAATTTTCGTGAGTGGATGATCCTAACTCAAGAGCTTTAATCTTCAGAGTAACCTTGAATATTATTATATTTAGAACTAAGGACAATGTTTAGCTTAGGAGGCATGACATTAGATCGTTATTTCCTGCTTGGACGTTAAGAGAAAAGTACAGTTTTATACAACCTTATCATTTTTAATTTTGGCTTATGACAAAAATTGTTGTGTAGCTAATCAAACATGCTTTCAATGGAGGTATGTCTAATTATTAACGTGGTAAGGGATGGTATATGTCAGGTGTGGAAGGGGCTGCTGGATAAAAATCAATAACCACCAGGGTTTTTAAAAATTAATCATTGAAGACATGTAGATGGTGAATCTACAGATTTTGTCAATATAGTTCCATGAACTCAAAATGGTCAGAAAGGAACTGAGTTTTAAAAATGCTCTTGCTAGGCTAACAGAGAACCTGGAACCGTTTGTCTTATGTCCACAAGACAGTGCGGTCAGCAGGACAGAGGCAATACTTGCCACTTGGGAACTAAGAACAACAAATGTGAAGCCTGAAACTGACAGGCTGTAACTCACAAGTGTCTAAACCCTGCCCTCAGATACTCTTGGGCACCTCCTACTGGGGCTTTAGCAGGGAAGTCACTTGAATTCCAGGGCCTGAAAGGAACTCCTGGTCTACTGGGAGCAACTATTCTCAGCTGAAACATGGACAAGGAGTTCTAGGTAATAACCAGGCACTAACAGTAACTATCTGGATAAAAATACAATTGTTCTCTCTCCCTTACAACCAGTCTTAGATCCAGGAATGTATATCCAGAGGTAACTAAATTACATGTTCATGTTAATTAGACGTTACACATCCTGCATGTGAGCTTCACTTATTATTCCAGTCAGTGATGGGAATCTTAGAAAGAGAGCACTCTCACTCTGTGAGAATCTGATCCCTCTGACCCTTACCACCCAGGGGAAGGGGAAGAACATATGTAAGAGACTGTGATTACAAAATGAATTATTAAGAAGAGAAGTCAATCCCCAATAATCATCACATTCAAAACAGTTTCTATGGGTCTGTGAACAAAAGTGGTCCAGCAAAATGCCATATGTATGGGAATTCTTAAAAACAAGGTGGTAATGATGAACTCTTCATTAAATTGGTCCATCAGGCATCATTTATGATAATTCACCATCTCCACATTTCTGTGTAACATGTGTCTTGGGATAATACAATACATGTAGAAGAGATTACTTGGGATTTAAATCTGAATGACAAAGACAAAGGAAATCAGAAACACAGATTTCCATCCCTATGTGCTGAAGGAATTCTGGAACAAAGAGGAAGAAATGTGAGACTGGTAACCTGGAAAGGTTTGGGGCAAGTAAATTTTAATCAAACATCCTACAAAAGGTGAAACCTAAGTCACAGGAAAGAATATAAACTGGTATCCTGGAAGAAAAATTTGAGTGGAAAGATATCCTAAAGTCAGGAGCAACTTAACAGGTGAATTTTCTTTAAGCAAAACTCCCCCCAGTGCATGAAAAGAAACAAAAGCAGCAGATCAACAGAGTCGCAGTTGCGTTTCAGTATATATTGGAATGTTTAAGATTAAAGAAGAACACAACTGAAAACTACCATAGATTTCTTAATATCAAGTGACCTGGTGAAATCATCATTTCCAAATCTTATTCTATTGCCATGATTGAGTTCAAATACTCAGAATCTTAAATCAGGATGTGGCCACATCTTCCTTAGTAGTTTGTTTAAGGCATGTATGTTATGCTATATTTTCCCTGGCCTTGAATGTTTGTCTCATAATGAGCCAAATATACAGAACATCCAGAATAATTAGTTGTTATAATAAAACTCTGTTAGTAGAGATACACAGGTGGTGCATATTTGCTCTGGTGAATTATCTGTGGACAAAGAAATTATTCACTTACTACAATCACTGTATCTGATTATACCCTCCCCCCAAAATGGATTAGATAGTCACACTTGGAAGTACTTTGCATTGAGCTAGAGATTGCATTTGGCATTATCTCTGAATTCAAAATGAATTCAAAATGAAGCAGAGTCTGATATCCTTAATAAAATTTGATGTTGTAGCTTCTGGTATATAAACTGCAGAAAATTTTTATAATGGCATTTAAAAAAATGGAGAAAGGGAAAACAATTAATAAAGAAGGGAAAGGGAAAAGGAAACAAGTACTTTATACTCATGAGAGTTTACAGAGGGCTCCAGAACAGATAGAATAAATTTGCTGCTGTTTCAGGCAACACGAGAGCTATCATCTATCAATAACAGTTATGGTCATGACGGGTTTGTTCAATCAGTCAGGAACTTTGGTGGAGAAAAACAAAACATCCTAAGCTATCTAAATAAAAGGATTTTTTTCCGTCAAAACATAGATAACCAATATTTGCATCTAAGTGAAGACTAGCTACATCAAGCCTGAAATTGTAAGAAAACAAACTCCTTTGGTTATTCAGTGGTGATTTCATAATGAATGATCGCAGAAAGAAAACAAATGAGCAATTTTATTAATGACATATGCATAGAAGAAAAATTCTAGTAAAAAATATTTTTTAAATAGTTTTTTTAAGCACAATTATTATTTCCTTTTTTCTGTTGTTTTTCTTAGCGACAGAGTCTCATTCTGTTGCCCAGGCTGGAGTGCAGTGGTATTATCATAGCTCACTGCAGCCTCAACTACTGGGCTCAAGCAATCCTCTCGCCTCAAGCTTCTGAGTAGCTGGAATTACAGGCGTGAGACAATGAATCCAGATTTATGACTGCTAAATCTATAGCTTTATCCAGTTCCCTGGTTCCCATAATTTAAATAACCTCTCCTTTCTCTTAATAGCCATAGTTTTTTTAATTGATATGAACCTTATTTGTGTGTGTGTGTATATATATATGTGTATATATATATATATATATTTATATATGTCTCTATTTAAAATGTCTCTGTCATGCAGGACTAAAAGCATTTTGTGAAGAGGTCCTCATTGACTCAATTAAGTTCATCTTATGCAATATCTTGTACATCATAGCCTCTCAGTAATTGTTGATAATAAAGTGATTGCATGATGCTCATAAGATTTAAACCTTTTTAATATTTAAATATATTTGTGCTTAACTCAGCAACATTATAAAGTATTTCAAGAAAATATTTTGAATATTACTATATTCAAAAGTCATACCTTAAGAAATTTTTTAATAATTTTTAAATGTTTATGTTTTACACTTAGGATTTTGCTCAATTTTAAATTCAAACTCATATTTGAAAGTCTTGTTTTAGAGACAGATATGTAGTATGAAGCTTCTACATTTTCTAATAAAGTTTCAAAGATTAAGTATACTTAATACCAGTAGTTTTAAAAAGCCAACTGATGCATGAAGAAAAAAATTCTCTGAAAAAGATATCTGTTTCTGTTTAGTGAAACATGCATTGGCTATTTTGCCAGAAACTTCTGCACTGGAAAAGTTTTAGTAGAAATTTAAAAAATACATACATCTTCAGAAATAATGTTGGCTCCTATAAGTGCCATTCATTGTCCAGAGATATTTCAGGTATGGTTCGATGAGAGTTAATTGTTCATACTATTTAGTACAAAAGGAATGGAAGATAAGGCAACTAATTGATGCATTAGTAGTTGTTCCCACCTCCAAAAGTTGCAGGAGGCATTTTTAACAGCCTTCATTTTCTTTGCAGGGGATCTGCTCTGGACAAAATGGAATATTCACTATTCTACCTTACATTTATTTAGCAAGAAGCATTATCATCCATCCCAAGCACACATTTTTGCAGAATAACAAAGACGTACAAAGCAGCAATGGCCTTCATCCTAAGCACAATGCTTTGAGTATGCAGTATTTGTTTATTAAGTGCTTTTCGTTTTGCTTTAGGGGCTCATGGACTTGAGTAGATTCTTTCTCTGAGGTGCACAGATAGCCCTTTTATATTCATTATTATATGCTGTTAATTTATGGTGATGGAGAAATCAGTAGATTCTCTCTTTCCCCCTTGCCTGTGTAACCTTCCTTTTGGGTTTAATCCTAATAATTCGTTTTGGGGAAAATGAATGAATAGAATTGTAGTACTACTTCCTGTGATTCTGTGGAGTGAAAATACATCAGATTTTCCATCATAAACATCTACGTCTAGAATTGTATGCAACCATTGTGAAAATGTTCCTTGGGCTGGAATTTAATATTGCTTCTTGCTTTTTTAAATTTTCTGCCACTCTTTTTAAACCTTGAAAAAAAATGGAATTCATTCTGAAGGAAAATTTCTTTTCTATTGCTAAGAATAAAAAATGGAAAAAGACAGCATTGTTAAATGAAGAGGAAACTTATATCAAGGTTAATTGTATTTTTTCAAAATGTGCAAAAAGTTGCTTGCCCTGAAAGGAGGGTTTTTTTTTCTAATAGCAACAACAAACAAAAATATACTTAAAAATTAAAAATATATAAAAGCCAGCCTATGAAAATATAATCACACCCTAATGAAAGTGCTCTGATGAGTCAGATTCTAGAATGTTCTGAGGTAAAAGTTGAGAATAGGGTAAAAGATTAAAGCCCTTCCTCCCATCTCACTTCTCTTAACATTCTCATCTAGAGTTTGACCGAGTTAGTACAGGGTTTCTGAGAAAGGCAAAGACTCTGAGCTACAGTTCAAGCTCTGGTCTAATCAGAAATTAAGAAAGTCAAAACATCTCTCTAACAGCCTCCTTCTCTAGAGGAAAGCATACCTGGAAATACTTTATAAGCATTCCCCTATTATAGTAGACAGTCTTTAAATGTTTACTGAATAATAATAATAATAAAAAAATTATGCTGTCTACCTATATCTAAGCATGCTCAATCCTAAATATTTCTAAATGTTACCAAAATATTATTGGTCAATCCACTTCATTGGTCCAGACTTTGATTTATTAGTTAATTTATTCATTCAATAAAACATTTATTGAGTATCTACTATGTGCCACATAATATAATAGAGCCATAAAAATAAAGTAGTTCTTATTCTTTCCAAACTTACAGCTTAACAGAAAGAACAAACATTATGCGATTAATTACCACAAAATCAGATGACTACTATGAGGGAGAAAAGACCTTGAGGATGCACATGGTGATAAAGCCGCAATGAGCTAGTGTCTTCCAGTAATAGTGAGTAATAAAATGCTTACCCGTTCTGATGAACCTTTGTCAAAAATTAGGATATTCTTAGAAACAATAATAGCACAATTTCTCTCTATCTACACCTAATCTCTCTGACAATTATGAAGGAAAAAATTCAAAACTCAGATAAATCTCATTTTACTGATGTTTTGTCACCACTTCAACATATATTTACTCAACTATCAAGGAAGAAGAGATATTCAACAGCGTGTCCTTCTAAGAAAAACCAAACGATACCTGATAAAAATGTTTTCAGGATTCTTAATCAATGCTTTCCTCATTTAAATACTTAATTTTGCTTTTATTCACTTGATTTTTTTAAACCAAGGGTTGTGGTTTTTTAAACCAGTGGCAAACTATGACACGTTGCAGTTGCTCAATTACATGTTTATTCAAGCTTTTTATATTTTACTCAAATATATATTTACAGTCAATGTAAATTTCTCCTCATGCCTAACTAATCTCTGTCAAATATTGTCTTTAAAACATTTATGTCTTCAAGAAATATTCAAATCAATGACCCCTCAAAAACGTACAGAAAGGACATTGTTGTCACAGTCTCAAACCAGCAAACTTTGTAAAAAAACCACTTACGATTCGACATTCAAAGATGTAACTTGCTTAGTGTTATACCTAAAAAGATGAGAGTCCAGAGGCATCCAAGCTCATGTATTGCTGCTGTCACTGTTTGCTCATTTAAATGTTGCACAGGATAGTACACTGATGTGAAGTCAGTAGAAGGAAGTTTTGGTAATAACAGAAATACTATCAGAAGCAGTACACACGTATTTGTAATTAGTTACCAAATGACTGCATAAACAGTGAAAAGGTAAATGCACTGGGACTGTATTTTGGCTCAATCTGTGACTTGTTAGTCAAACCTGTTTGAGAGGTAGAAAGGCTCACCTTTTTAAAAGGCAATTGCAATTACGGGTGTGTGCTTCAGCTTTGTTTTCTGCCCTTCCTTGATTACCAGGCTTTCCTGTACATAAAAGTGAAGAAGAGAAACTAGAAGATAGGCAATTTTCCATTTCTCTGAAAGCTGCAGGAGAAAAAAAAAAAAACTCTTCCAAGTAAAACCTGAGAGGAAACCTAGTTTCCTTTTAGTCATGTTCCATTCTTGCTTCTGTGTTCAGAACATGTTCACAAATAAATGATTCCAATTTTCAGGCAGAATTTAAATCTCAAGTGTTCCACTCACTGCAAAAAAGAACATAAAAGCACAGAATGATGTATCCAACTTTGGCTGTAACAAAATGTTCTGTTTGGAAACCAAATTAAGTTATTGGTCTAATCTCAACTAGGTTAACATAAAATTTTGACTGGAAAGGGCCCAATTCTTGGCAATAAAAAACTGACTTTTGAAATGTTTTTCATCTGTCTATAAAGTAGAATTTTCTTAATGTTATCAAGAGGGAAAGAATTGTATATGCAAATTAGATATCTTTATTAAAGAGTATTGAATGACTAACAGTAATTTCAACTCAACCAATATTGTCTATCTTCTAGCACTGCATAGGTCCTTAGATTGTAAATATAATATACACAACCTCAAGAAGTTCTTGGTTTAGTAAGAGAAATGAAAAGATTAACAAACTATTAAATTCATGGAGAACATACAAATAAAAATGAATATTTTATTTCAGGCAATTACAAATAAGACTTTTTGCTTTTTTGGAAGATAGATGTGTAAACTACATTGATAGTTACAATATTGGAATGCTGAATGTTCATGTGCCCTGGGGCAGTAGATCCTAGGAGCTAGCCTCCTAGAACAGAGCAGGACAGTTGACTTTGGTGACTAGATTAGGCTAATTGAGGAGCCTGGGTAGGAGAGACAGGCTCAGTGGATAAGCAAGAGTACAAAGTATCAGAGGTCTCAGGAAAACTGGAGAGACAGTATGTAAAGATCAGAGCACTGCTGAGGAAAGACGAGTTTTGCCTGGGAATAATTTAGTCAGGATCCTTTCTGGCAAAAGTGACAACAATAAAACTTCAACTCACTTAGTGAAAAATATAATTTATTGGCTTTCACAATTGAAAAGTAC
Source organism: Homo sapiens (assembly GCF_000001405.40). Classification (NCBI taxonomy): domain Eukaryota; kingdom Metazoa; phylum Chordata; class Mammalia; order Primates; family Hominidae; genus Homo; species Homo sapiens. Next base: position 117,312,100 of record NC_000005.10, on the reverse strand, counting down.
AGGGCATAACTGAGAAACGCAGGCAAAGGCTATGCCCATGGGGTTGTCACGAATCCATTCCTCACTTTCTATTTGACTCTGTACTTCTCCGTGTTGGCTTCCTTCACAGGCATGCTGAGTCCAGTTTTGATAATGAGCTACCACAACTGTAAGTTTATATTCTATCACTCTTCATGGAATCAATCTGTCTATTAAGAATAGTATTGAGTTGCTATAAGGACAATGATTAAAAGAAGTCAGATGTTTATGTCTGCCTCACTTAAAAAAATAAATAAATAAAGTCATGTAGTCCAGGACTACTATGCCAAACCCATAGTCAGAAATATAAGGATTGGAAAGAAAGACACTAAACTGCCATTATGTTTATTTGATAAAATTATCTGAATTAGAAAACATGAAATACTCTACAGAGAAATCATTATAAATGATATGAGTGGCAAGATTGCTTAGCACAAAAAATAATATGTAGCAATAGTTGCATTCCTATACAGCAGTCACAGAGTGGTAATATCTTATTAATAAAATATATTTATTTATTCTCTTTCTTTACTTTCTCTATCTCTATCTTTCTTTCCATGTCTCCCTCTCTCTCTCTTTCTTTCTTCCTTTTTTTTCTTTCTTTCTTCCTTATTTCAATAGCTTTTGGGGTATAAGTGGTTTTTCATTACATGAATGAATTCTATAGTGGTAAATTCTGAGACTTTAGTGCACCCACCACCTGAGTAGTGTACACTGTACCCAATATGCAGTCTTTTATCCCTTACCTCCCCATTCTTCCCCTTCACATCCCCAAAGTCCATTATATAACTCTGAATGTCTTTGCATCCTCATAGCTTAGCTCCCACTTAGAAGTAAGAATATATGGTATTTGGTTTTCCATTCCTGAGTTACTTCACTTAGAATAATGGCCTCCAGCTCTATCCAAGTTGCTGCAAAAGACGTTATTTCATTCCTTTTTATGGCTCAGTAGTAGTCTATGGTGTATATATACCACATTTTCTTTGTCCACTCATTGGTCAGTGGGCACTTAGGTTGGTTCCATATCTTTGCAATTGTGAATTGTGCTGCTGTAAACATGTGTGTGCATGTGTCTTCATCTAATGACTTATTTTCCTTTGGGTAGGTACCCAGTAGTGGGACTGCCAGATCCAGTGGTAGATTTGCTTTTAGTTCTTTAAGGAATCTCTATACTGTTTTCAATAGAGCTTGTATTAATTTGCATTCCCACCAGCAGTATAAAAGTGTTCCCTTTTAACCACATCTACACCTACATCTATTGTTTTTTGACTTTTTAATTACGACCATTCTTGCAGGAGTAAGGTGATATCTCATTGTGGTTTTAATTTGCCTTTCCCTGATGATTAGTGATGCTGAACATTTTTTCATAGGTTTGTTGGCCATTTATATAGCTTCTTTTGAGAAATGTCTATTCATGCCTTCTACTCACTTTTTGATGGGATTATTTGTTTTAAGTAAAACATTATTTTCTATAACAACTGATATAAAGTAATAAACTAACCATAAGTGATTTGAATAGTATCAATACACCATATTTTATTTAAGTAAATTTAAACATTTAGGGAGATATACATATTCATGGATAAAAAGACTTACTGGCATAAAGCTATCAATACTTCCCAAATAAATCTAAAATTATGTGCAGTTGGATCTCCCATAGAAGATTTTTTTTCAAGAAACTTACAAAAGAGGGTATACGGAAAAGTAATGAAACAAGAATTTTTTCAAGAATCCTCTCAACAAAATGTATATGGAAAGGCCAAGAGCCACAAATAGGCAAGACACAAGCTCTTTGCCCTACAACATCAGTCTGTTATGAAATTAAAGTAATTAAGTAGCATGGTATTGGAATGATGATAGAAAAATTGACCAAGAAAACAAAATGGAAATACCATATAAATAAATATATTGTATCAGAAAATTTACATTGAAAACCATTGAGGGAAGACATTTACTTTTCAATAAATTTTAGTGGAGAAATTATTTGTATAGAAAAAAATTGAGTTGGATACTTATCTTACACAATGAAAAGTGAAAATTAATTCCAAATAAATAATAAGCCTAAATATGTGAGAAAACAATTTGAAAACCTGGAGAAAAAATGTTTTTATGACATTAATATAGAAAAGTATTTCTAAAATTGACTCAGTTTTGCACAGGAAGATTGATAAATTTGATACTACATTAAATTTTAATTCCATGCATGAAAAGACACTGAAACAAAGTAAAAAGTCCAGTAACTCCCTGGAAGATTATTTTCAAATTTAGTAAGTGTCAATTAGGTACCATAATACATAAATTACTTTTTTAAATCTATAAGAGAAATATAAATAATTCAGTAGAAAATCTGATAATATGTATTGGCAACCTTACCTAAGAACAAATAGATATATAAAAAATTATCTCCAATTTTTAAAGAAATGCACATTAAAATCATAATAAAATACCATTTGTGCCTAACAACTTGTGAAAAACACTAAAAGCCTGACAGTAGAGAATGCATATAAATTAGTTAAAATTCTCCCATCTTCATAAAAGAATGTAAATTCCTAAAGCCAATTTGAAGGTTCTTTGGCAAAACTTGGAAAAGTAGAAAATGATTTAGCAACTTATTTTTATGCATTTAACTCTAGATAAATCTTCATACATGCAAAACATGTATATAAGAATATGCATAGCAAAAGTGCTTAGAAAAGCAAAAAGAAAGGTACAGATAACATAAATCTCTATGAGGAGAAGAATCAATTAATATATTGTGGTATATGTATATATTTGAATATTATATAGAAGTGTAAATTAAATTAATGCACCCATTCTACATATATCCATATAGATATATCTTAAACACCTCTTAACTGAAAAGACAAAGATGGGATACATTAATATAATATAATATAAATATAATACTGTCTTTGTCAGTTCTGGCTGCCATAATAAAATATCACAGACTGAGTGGCTTAAACAACAGAAATCTATTTCTCATAGTTCTGGGGACTGGAAGTCCAAGAGCAAAGTGCCAGCATGGTCAAGTTCTGTGAGGGCTCTCTTCTGAGATGCAGACTGCCAACTTCTCATCGTATTTTCCTATGACTGAAAACAGAAAGAGAGAGAAAGCGAGCTCCTTTGTGTCTTTTTATAAGGGTACCAACCCCATTTAAGAGAGTTCCAACCTCATAATCTATCTCCCAAAAACTCCACCTCCTAATACTATCACATCGGGATTAAGATTTCAACATATGAATTTGAGTGGACATAAACATTCAGATCATAGCAAATAGTCAAATAGACTGAATATTTTTAAAGAATATATACATATTTGGTAAAACTAAAAGGCTATGTAAGGAAATGATATACACAAAATGAGCATGGCATTTATCTCTGGGAATAAGAATTGGAATGGATTTGAGAAAAGATACTTAGGAAGATTCCACTCACTTTTGTAATATTTTATATTATTTTATCCGAGTGGTAATTAACAGGTATTATCATTAATACATTTTATATCTAATATGTTTTAATAGATTTTAAAAGAAAATATGAATCAGTTACCAAATTCATAGAAAAGTTGAGTGGAATTGGGTTATAAGAAGTAGACAGCAGCAAAAGGTAAAATGTAGGTACAATATTTTAAGTCAGGAGTCCTCCAACTGCAACCCATAAGCTAAATCTAGCCCAACATTTGCTTTTGTAAATAAAGTTTTATTGGAACACAGTCATACTCACTTATTTATATATTGTCTATGGGTACTTTAGTTACAACAGAGACAGTATAGCCATCACTTATTATCTGGCTCTTTACAGAGAAAAGTTGTCAACCTCTGCTCTAAATAGTTGACATGGACTTTGCTTGGGGTGTAATAACCCATTTTTATTTGTTGTTACCTACTATAGACAGTTTAAATTTACTATGTTAATTAATTCTTATTATTTGAGAGAATGTTCATATCATCCTCATATTACAGATGAGAAAACTGAGTCCCAGAGAATTTAAACAACTTGCTTAATATCTTTCTGAATACTAAGAGACCAAAATAGATTTCTCTGACTTAAATCAAAATATAGTGATGTAAACCATGACAGAAAAGTCAGAAATTGATCTTAGATTTCTTTATTTTTAGACTACACTTTTTCACTCTGTCAAAATAGAGGATGTTGGATCAATGATTTGGAAAAGGGTAAGACATAAGATGTAAAATATATGGAAATTAGAAATTATAAAGAAATATAAATTTTGTTACAAATTATTAGGAGTAAAATTTTCCCCCAATAAAGGAATCACACAAACATATACACACACAACCTATTTATTCTGCCTTAGAAGATACAGAGAAACTGTGTTAGCTTAGTGTATCAATTATATGACACTCTACAACTCAACAATTCTGTTGATCATCTGTTTCCTACAAATCACTGGCACAAATTATGTTTTCTGTAATGAGGTAGAAGATACTAAAAAAAAAAATCTTCCCCTGATAGACTATAAATACCTTGAGGATTGGCACTGTGTAGGTACTCAATACAAATGTCCAGAGGATGAATTCATGATATTTAAACAGGGTGTTCAACCAATATTTTTAGATGTGCTATATCTAATATAAAGAGCCTTGTCCCAGTTCAAAGAAAAAGAGAGATCTGGCAAAATCAAGGGAGCTTCAAAAAAACATATCACCTACTCAGAGATTATCCAAAGAGCGAGAGAGGAGAATATAAAGGAAAACATGAGAAATATGCAATCTGGGGATGAGCTTAATCTACCTAAGAGTCTTAAAACTTCAAAGGGCTGGAGTATAAAAGAGGGAGAGGCAACAATGGGAAAAAGAAAGAAGTGTTAAGGAATACGCTGGATTATGCAATTTATTTGGCTGTCACATGACATTATCAGCCAAAGCCAATTTATACGGTTGTCTAAGAAAAGAGATCAGAGGTAGAGACAGAAAACATTAGGTAAAACTGCTTTGCTTATAAAATTAACATGTTCTATATTTTATATTGAAAAGAAAAGCTCTTTTGAAAAGTTATTTAATACCTTAAAATTAGAATTTCCATTTTTGTGTTTATTATTTTATAAATATAACAAGAAATAACTAAGCTTTATTTCAGAAGCAGCACATAAAATCTTAAATATAGAAGACATCAAAGTGACTATATTGGTCACATTGAAGAAGGCTTTTTTGCCTTTCCAAATTTGTGTTACATTTTGATTTATTTTGGACCAATCCCCATCACTTGCTAAAGAAAATGGAAGAGAAATAATGAAAGTCTGCAAGCAAGCGGGATGTTTAGGCCACCCAAATTATTGGTGCTATATTATGAGAGGGATTGGATTTGGGAGAACCTGGAATTTCATTCCAGAAGAAACTTCCTGAGGGTCTTTGCATGTGTCGTGTAATAGAATGTTCCTTGTGCAAAGCCCCTCTTTGCTGCTGGTGTTGAAGAACACAGAAGCAGGGTCTTGTATTCTTGACATTGCTGTCTTCCACATATGGATTCAGGACAAACATCCAATTCACAGGCAATACAGTTCTTGCTGTATTTTGAATAATCTATTATTTCTCATGTATGTATAAGAAGAGATACACTTTAGCCTCCAGAACAATTCCTTCAGATGGGATTTGGTGAATAATGTACAGGAAAAAATCATCTAGTTCAGGCAATCAGTGTTGGTTTTGGAAACTTGGGAGTTCTGAGGTAACACCCAGACATTAGTCATTGAGTACAGTGTAACTTAAGCTCCTGGTGCGTCCGGAATTGGTGGGTTCTTGGTCTCACTGTCTTCAAGAATGAAGCCGCAGACCCTCGCGGTGTTACAGCTCTTAAGGTGGCGTGTCTGGAGTCTGTCCCTTCTGATGTTCATATGTGTCCAGAGTTTTTTCCTTCTGGTGGGTTCATGGTCTTGCTGGCTCAGGAGTGAAGCTGCAGACCTTCGCGGTGAGTGTTACAGCTCTTAAGGCAGTGCGTCTGGAGTTGTTCGTTCCTCCCGGTGGGCTCATGGTCTTGCTGGGCTCAGGAGTGAAGCTGCAGATCTTCGCGGTGAGTGTTACAGCTCATAAAAACAGCGTGGACCCAAAGAGTGAGCAGTAGCAAGATTTATTGCAAAGAGCGAAAGAACAAAGCTTCCACAGTGTGGAAGGGGACCCCAGCGGGTTGCCAATGTTGGCTCCGGCAGCCTGCTTTTATTCTCTTATCTGGCCCCACCCACATCCTGCTGATTGGTAGAGCCCAGTGGCCTGTTTTGTCAGGGCGCTGATTGGTGCGTTTACAATCCCTGAGCTAGATACAAAGGTTCTCCAGGTCCCCATCAGATTAGTTAGATACAGAGTTTGGACACACAGGTTCTCCGAGGCCCCACCAGAGCAGCTAGATACAGAGTGTCGATTGGTGCATTCACAAACCTTGAGCTAAACACAGGGTGCTGATTGGTGTGTTTACAAACCTTGAGCTACATACAGAGTGCCGATTGGTGTATTTACAATCCCTGAGCTAGGCATAAAGGTTCTCCAAGGCCCCACCAGAGCAGCTAGACACAGAGTGTCGATTGGTGCATTCACAAACCTTGAGCTAAACACAGGGTGCTGATTGGTGTGTCCACAAACCCTGAGCCAGACACAGAGTGCCGATTGGTGTATTTACAATCCCTGAGCTAGACATAAAGGTTGTGCAAGGCCCCACCAGAGCAGCTAGATACAGAGTGTCGATTGGTGCACTCACAAACCTTGAGCTAAACACAGGGTGCTGATTGGTATGTTTACAAACCTTGTGCTAGATACAGAGTACCGATTGGTGTATTTACAATCCCTGAGCTAGACATAGAGGTTCTCCACGTCCCCACCAGAGCAGCTAGATACAGAGTGTCCATTGGTGCACTCACAAACCTTGAGCTAAACACAGGGTGCTGATTGGTGTATTTACAATCCCTGAGCTAGACATAAAGACTCTCCACGTCCCCACCAGACTCAGGAGCCCAGCTGGCTTCACCAAGTGGATCCCGCACCTGGGCTGCAGGTGGAGCTGCCTGCCAGTCCTGCGCCGTGCACTCGCATTCCTCAGCCCTTGGGTGGTCGATGGGACTGGGCGCCGTGGAGTAGGGGGTGGTGCTCGTCGGAGAGGCTCGCGCCACACAGGAGCCCATGGAGTGGGTGGGAGGCTCAGGCATGGCAGGCTGCAGGTCCCGAGCCCTGCCCCGCAGGAAGGCAGCTAAGGCCCGGCGAGGAATCGAGCACAGCGCCGGTGGGCGGGCACTGCTGGGGGGACTCAGTACACCCTCCGCAGCCACTGGCCCGGGTGCTAAGTCCCCCATTGCCTGGGGCCAGCAGGGCTGGCCGGCTGCTCCGAGTGCGGGGCCCGCCAAGCCCACGCCCACCCGGAACTCCAGCTGGCCCTCAAGCGCCGCATGCAGCCCCGGTTCCCGCCCGTGCCTCTCCCTCCACACCTCCCTGCAAGCTGAGGGAGTGGGCTCCAGCCTTGGCCAGCCCAGAAAGGGGCTCCCACAGTGCAGGGGGGGAGCTGAAGGGCTCCTCAAATGCCACCAAAGTGGGAGCCCAGGCAGGGGAGGTGCCGAGAGCAAGCGAGGGCTCTGAGGACTGCCAGCATGCTGTCACCTCTCACTGGGACTTTAGGATATTGAGCTATTGCAATTTATTACACATTTTCTTTGATTTTCAAAACCTCTGAAAGAGGAAAAGGTCACACAGTAATCAGTAGCTATGTGACATTTAGACAGTCACAATACTTGATTGGGTATTGGTTTCCTAATCTGGAAGGTGAAAGAATTACAGATGATCTACATCTACAATCTGCTGTTTCTATAAATTGAAGTAGCCTGCTAATAACACAAATAGATCTCAGCATAATTACAGAAAAGTATACAACTTCCATAATGTAAAATCACACCAGCCTAGTCCCTCAGGGGAACTACTGGTTTGTCATTTAATTGCAGGGGCACACAGTGCAAATATTTCAAAGCTGCATTCTGAAGGGCTATGGGGCAATGCTGTGCTAATGTGGACTTCTGGCATCAAATCCCTTTGAGCGATTATTTTAGAGAAATAGGAGATTTAACTAAATGTGAAAATAAGATTCCTTGAAGTGGAGGAGGACTGAAAATGTAGGCAAAAAAAAAAAATACCTTAGGTGGAATTAATTTAACTTTTGGCAAAATCTGTGTGAGGGGATAAGAAAGGAAGGTGTGGGTGGCATGGCCCATAGCAAGTAATTCATTCCCTTGAAAGCAGAAAGAGCAGGTCAAATACATTTTAATGTACTATTTTCCAAAGGAAAGGAGTGAAATAAAGTTCCAATGAGCATAAACATTAAAAGTATATTATGTAAAGCTATATTTAGTCATAAAACCAACATGTTTTATATAATTAATTTTGAACTCCACTTTATCTGGGCAATAATTTTAAATTTAATAGTTACATTTAGGTTTCAATGCTTTACTTTTATTCCAATTGTCTCTAAGAGTTGCTTAACTTAAGTCTTGGTGAAACAAACTTTGTTACAGGATAAATAATTCAGTTATTAGGGGTATAGGTAGACCTGGTATCTTATCAATATGAGGCTCTTCCTCGTGACCCAAGGGCATGATGACGTTTCACTCCAGTATGTGTAGTCAGATTGCAGTGCAAGGCTTGTTGAGCTAACCAGAGAATTTCCTGCTAAAATGCATCCTTTTAAACTAAAAAGGTACATTAGATCAGAAAACAGCTTGCTTCTCAGATATAAATTAGACCTTTCCAGCAGGACTTGCACATATTTTAAACTAGCAAACAAAATAAAACTTTGGACAAATTCTGTATTCTTCAATTTACGTTGCTTCATTCTATCAGATAAATTGTTTGGTTTTCCAGATTCGCTTTACATCCTTACTGTCTGTCCTATGGTGCTGACTCATGTAGGGTATATCAACAGGATCGAATTGCCTTGAATCTCTAGTGGAATGTTGTGAAAGGAAGCTGAGGCAGAGAGAAAGCTGAGACAACATGCTCCATAGTGCTCTGAGGAATGGTAGTAATTCTGGCCCTGACTCTAGGTTACATGCTAACTATCTGACATTGTTATACAGAAAAGGAGAAGGCACAATTATAAATACAGAATGGAAATACATAAATTGCAGAGACAGGAAGAAACTGAAGCAAATTTTTAATAAGAAGCAGAGGCAAGAGGCCACTAGCTCCACAAAGAATGGAGAAAGCAGTCTTGGCTCAGCTCTTTTGTGTTATCCAGTCACATTTTGCTTTCAATGCTTGGAGCTTTGTAAACTCTATAGCACCCCATATATTAGTTAAGACTTTAGGTTATAAGACATGACAGACTCTACTCAAACAAACTTGAACGAACAAATTAAGTAACATATTGGCTCATATGAATATCTATGGAATGTCCAATGTTGGGTATGGCTTGATTTAAGAATTTAATGATGTCATTAGGAAATCTATCCAATTTTTTTTCTTCCTCTTAGCTCTCCTTTTTCCTAGTAGGCCTCATTCTCAGCAATGATAATCCTTAATGATCTTCAATGGTCTGAATCTCTAGATAAAGAATCTTAAATTTCAAGGTCCATATCAATCCCTCACAAAAGAACTCTGATTGGCTTGGCTGAGTCATTTTGCTACTGATGACTTAATTAATAATTCTAGAGAGATAGGGTATTCTGCTTGGCTTAGCATCATTGCCAAGCACCTTTGTACTACAGGTGAAGCTATGTGATTGGCAGTCCCATCAGGGTAGAGAAAGAAAAATCTATAAATGAAAAACCTGCTGAGCAGACCAAGAAGGTAAAAGATTTACATTCCTTTATTCTGTTTTAGGGAATCAAACAATCACCACCCTTTTCTCCTTTCACAGCCCCTGACATATTTAATTCTTAAAAATGAATGAGCAAACAAAAATCAAAACACAAAACATTTTTGAGCACCTAGTAATTTTTGAGTTTAAGTTTATTGCTGAATTGGGGGAGTATATTAATAAACAGGTACAAAATTAAAATACAATGTGACAAGTGTGGTAGTAAGGTATATTGAAGATACACCAGAATATTTAGGTTGTCTCTAATTCCTTTAGTAAAACCTGCTTTCAAGTATATGCCATAAAAACCAACCTACACTATTTTCTGGGCTAATTACATTTTGAAAAGTACCAAAGCTAAATGGATGATCCTGTGATCAGATATGTAGCCAACGTTAGTAGCCTGGTAGAATTGTTTTAATAGATGTTGACAAAAGAAAAACATTTGGAGTAATAGAAAGGAAAAGTGATGGTTATTGGGGACCTCTTAGATTCTTTTTAGCTGTCCATCTGACTCTTAAGATGGACTTGTTTGCTGTTACCTCAATTGTCTAAACAAACGAAACAAACCAAAATGTGAAAGAGATCATGGCATAAGGTTTCCATTAACTTGACTGTACTCTGTCATGGCTATAGATGTTTTTATTGATGTGCTTCTCTCTGGTCCTCTGGATATTTCTGGAGAAGGCACAGAAATAATAGGTCCTCTTTTAGGTAGCCTCAGAGCACTTGCTTCTCTGCTGCCTTTGGCTATTTGGGTCTTCAGCATTCAAATGTAACTTTTGCCTCTTTACGTCATCTTGGAGCCTGAGGAGGCCTGCTAGGAACAGGACATGTAAAAGGCAAATGTAAAAATGTCTGAAAGGCTGTGGTCCAAGGCCATTTTTGTTGGCTATGAGCTGGGTCTCCAGAACCAAAGGGAATGTGCATCTCTCTTTTGAATTGAAGGCGTTTATGCCCATGATGAAACTTAACTTTATTTGGGCAAGAGTTGTGTTTATGTATACAATGCAAAGAACAACACAGTGACTCCTGGTAGTAAACCAAACAAAACCAGACCAAGAGTAATCTTGAGAAAGGTAACTCCAGTGCATGGAAACAATGGCATGGTTTGTGCCAAATTCCAAAGCAATCTTTTGGCTAAGGCCATTGGACACAGAATCTGTATGATACTGTACCCCTTAAGGATTAAAAATAATAAAAATAAATAAAAATGGATTTGTGCTCTTGTAAAAACACACATGCTGAACACACACATACACACATTTAACTTTTGCAATTGATTTTTGAATTATTTTTAAAAATTATAAGACCTATTTTAGGATCATAATTATCCTATATATTATAAATATATACTGATATTGCTTAACAATCTCGATGTTGGGAGGCAATAAATCCTATTACATGTATAAGGTAAACATAATATGGCTAATTTTATAAAATATGGTCCTGTTGGAAATTGGCAGGCATATGGTAAATGTCAGTAACAGCTAGTGTCTTCCTATTCTTAAGAGTTATTTAACTTACAGGGTTTGTGTGTATGTGTATGTTTGAGTGTGCATATATTATGTAAGTTTTATTCTTTTAACAGTTATATTTAACTTTTGAAAAACAAGTAGTTTAGATTTATTTTTATAGATTTGTTTTGTTTTCGGAAAAAAAAGTCACAGAAAAGAAAGTAGCAATCTCATCATCTGTTAATATTTTGGAGACTATAACACAAGTATCTCTTTATGCATATACATCATGTTATTTCACAATTAATTTAATAATGAGTACTTTTATAATAGGATTTTTTCCTTTCCTAACAGACAAGGGTAAAGTACTGTATTAGGATTTATCTCTACCTTTTTACTTAGGCCAATGTTTACATTTCATACCCAAATAACTCTTGAAAGGGCCACTAGCTGTACATCCAGTTTATTCTTATCTTCACTTGAAAAATGTGAAGGAGAGTGTATGTTTAATTTCTCCACAGTAACACCAACCGTGTGTTGAAATGCCTAGGCCTAGTAAAGAAAGCCATTTGATAGGAATACAAAAATTGTCAGATAAATGTCAATTTATGGCTCTATAAACATTCGATCTGTCCAGAAAGTGTGTACTGATTGAGTCAGTTTTGACAGATGAAGAGCACTCACTGAAGATCCTATCCTGGGAAACATCCTTCATTAATATTTACATTTCTCTTGACAGTGCAGTTGCTGTAAGCATAGGGTGGGTAAATATAGCCTGCATCTGGCTAATATACATAGTCATGGGGCTGCATTTGTCTCAGAATCCAAATGCTTCGGGTAAGAATATGGGGCTGATTGTTTCTGTGGACTGCTTGGAAAGAATTAATTTAAGCAAGGAAAACTCCATGACACTTATTTGAAGGAAGGGGGACATTTATAACCAGTTAACCTGTGGTTGTAAAAGAACAAAAGATAGCTTTAATTCTCATCCCCCACCTCATTTTCTTTTTCTTCTTCATTTTTTATTCTGCTGTGAGCAGTCACGAAAAATGTGCCTGGTCAATAAGGGGCAAGTAAAATTGGAGGGGTTGCTATAGGAACACACAAAGTGATGCAGAGCAATAACCACTCTAATTTATACTGTGTTTTCACGTTGTATTTCCTTTGCAGTTAAACTCAACTTCAGAAGACTTTCCTTAAGAAAAAGGCTACTTGAAATGCAGGAGACTCTTTCTAAGGCAATTTTATGTACTGACTTTAAAAATAATAAATCCTAAATCTGAGTAGTGCTACAGGCAGGAAACTGGTATTTCTCCTATTCACGCCATTATATTTTCAATGCATTTTGACCAAAATCATTTTTGCACAGTGAAAGACCTGGGAATGCATTTTAATAGCGATGAAAGCATGAGTAATGAGGAGTGCTGCCTGAAGCAGTCTGAGCTCGCATCTCCTCAGCTGCTCTCTTCCATTTTGACAGGTAGCATCTATATCCCAGCCCTGAGACCCTTCTCATTCCCAACTCTGTTGAATTATCCCACTCAGAAACTATGCTCTCCTCAAATCTTGTTTTTTTGAAAGGTGAGAGACCTTACTGCCTTGTTTCTGACCTCCATTTGATAACTCCAAAGTAATCATGGGAGGCATTTCAGATCGACATACCAAAATAATTTCACATTCGCCAGACCCATGACTGAAAGGACAGGGTCACTTGCAACCATAGCCACATGGAAATCTTCGAGAGAAGAGGGGAGCTTTCCTCGTGATTAAATTTGAGGGAGTGATTAACTCAACTTCTGCCTGCTCATATCTGTTCATTTTCATGTGTCCAACTCATAAGCACAGTCAATTTTCTTTTTTCTCCCCAAAGTTATGGGGGTAGCCCACGAGCAATTTATTCTCAAAATGAGAGTGCAGGAGAAATTTCTAATCCAGTGATCAAAAAGCCCTGTGGATCAAGATAGCTCAGGAAACAAGATCTTCTACACAATCATGTAGATGACATGGATGGATGCGAGAGTAGTTTCCTTCCTTTTTTGGGAAGTCCGCGACAAAGGTCAAATGTTCATTCTTTCCTTGTTTAAAAAAAAAAAAAAAGAGTTTTTTCTTTATAGCTGACAAGGGAGGAACTGTGGTTAATCTAACAGGGCTGACAAGGGAGGAACTGTGGTTAATCTAACAGGGCTATTGCTCCATCTGATTTGGTTTTGGAAAGTGGTTTTTATTCGTGGCGTTTTGTTGAAGCATGAGGATTGACAATGAGAGGGGGCAAAAAGAAAAACAAACCCCCAAAAGATAAAAGTCACATCACAAATTTAAAAAGTGGAACGGGACTTACGTGAGAGGGCTCAGCAATTAATACCTAATCAAATTACACTATTTATTATGAAACAATCAGGCACAAGTTACTCATATGGGGTAAAACACTCAAAAGTTGAGTAGCAGTCTGTCCTTCCAGAGGGCTAGTTAATGTCTGTTAAAGAGCTTTTAATCAAGATTAGATAAGCATGTGTCTGGAAATGGGCAGAAAAGGAGTATAAAAACAGTTTCTATGCCATATATTCCTAACCAAATAGCAAGGCGGTAAAAGTCAAGGTTGTGTTTGTCAAATATTCAGTGCTTGCTCTATTCAAGCACCTAATATATATTACAGCATTGCTTACTTTCTGGTAAAATTATACATATAGTTCTGGAATATATTTTAGAGACTTTTCCAAGGGCTGAAGTAAAAAGTTTATCTGAAACCTTGGACTGATAAATAATGTCACTTTCCAAAAAAAAAAATTAAATGTTTAGAGTCAAAACACTTCTTTTTACCATCCCATAAGAAAATTGTAATCTGCTAACATAAAAAAGAAACAAGATATATTATTCCAGAAAATATTTTTTACTGTTTACAAGATCCTATTTTAAGCTGAATAATCTTTTACTTTCACATAGATGTCAAGGAGAGTTGGGGGAAGGGATGGATTAGGGAATTTGAGCCTTCAAAGGCAAATGGGACCAGTTTACAAATGATACCTTTCATCTCCAGAGCTGTTTGCTGGAGGGCAATGCTGAATGTTTAGTCTAAAAAATGAATTCAAATCACTCTACAGAATAAAGGTTGCAGAGTTAACTAACAGCATTAGATACTGTGCTTTCCAAATGCAACCTGCTTTGTTTTTTTAACTATACTGAATCTGTCTAATCATAAAAGAAACACATTTTTGTTGCTTTGAGAGAAGTGTTGGCAGTTTTAACATCTATCACTGCATGCCCACACAGAAAAAGAACTAATTTTAGAATTAATAAATTGGCTTATGTACATGTACAATTATTTACTATTTATGGTTTCTTCTTAAGGACATTTCTGTGGGATGTTACAGTTAGCAGAGTTTCCCTTTAGGCGAATGAGCATTTCCAGTTCCTTCAGCTTGGATATCCCTTCACTGCTACCACTGAGAAAGTAAAGACAGCTCTGTCAGGGTTTGATACAGTCCATAAATAACTACTCTTTCTCTGATCTGTCTGTATTTAGAACCCATATAAATTCATAAATGTCAGATAGATGTACATTGAAAATGCACCTTTATTCTTAAATTGATATTCGTTTATGTGGCTTAACTGAACAAAGCAAGTAAGATTTATCTTTGAATTATACAAATTCACCCTCCCCAGTCCCTGGCTGACTGGAATGACCACAGGCCTCCCTGCAGAATTACAGCCTTCACACTTGAAACTTCCAGCATGGTGGTTCAGAGAAGAATGTGAGTGCCCTGAAGACAGTTGGCTCCAAAAAGAGAATAGAAAGACAGGCTGAACAGAACAGGCTTAACTCCTCCCAAACTCTCCATCAGATCACTCATTTCATCTGAAGGCTAAGTCAGTGGCTTAAAAGACCAGGTACGTTACTCACCCTGAGATCTTTTCACAGGGAAACATGAAGCCAAGGGAAAAGAGATTCCCTTTGCCCCAGTGCAAGTTCCTTTCCCCACCTAGTGCTAAACATTTTTTAAGTAAAAATGTTCTTAGTGGAAACCCAACAGTCTGAAATAATTAATTTGCCTTGGTAAGTTTTTAAGTTAATACTAAGAAGTGATTTGAATATTAGAGAAATTTCACTCATTAATTTCTTATATTAAGCCATATTTCCACCAGCATGGATCCTTTGAAATTAGCCTTATCTGTATGGTAATCCAAAAGCTAAAAAGCAATACACACACACACTGTTAGGTTGCTCAGTCCATTTTATATGTATTAACATTATTAAAAAAAAAAAACTTTCTCAAGCATCCCACCCCCGTACAGTATCATAAAACTTGCTTTGTGTATACAGAGCTTTTCTTATTCCTAGAATGTCCCCTACACCACCATGCATGACCTCCTTAGGTCACGAGGTCCTTTGTAGGCTACGCCAATATTCTGTGTCTAATTTTTTCTTTTATAAAATGAAAGATTAAATGAATTAACAAGAGATACAGCATAATAAAAATGCTTAGAACCTTTAAATATTCTCCTCGCCTTTGATTTCCAAATGCTTTAGTCCAGGCAAAGACAGTAAAAATAAAGGAAACATGACATACAGCATGTAGTTTATGAGTCTCAACTATTCTCATATCAACACAGAACAAATAATCAAACTACAGCAGAGCTGCACTGTCACACTCCTTCAGACATGATTCATCCAAAGTGATCTTGCAACAATTAGATGGATGATTAAGTTGATCAGAATGAGCAATTCTCCCTTCCCTTGTATTATGAGCAATTGGGAAATAATCATTGAACACTATGTCAGGTGCTAAGGATACAAAAATAAATAACCTAAGGTCTTAAAGTTGTTTATGAAGTAGCAAAGAAGGTTAGCTTATACAAAATTGTCTTACTATTTGTCACAGGA
This sequence comes from Homo sapiens, assembly GCF_000001405.40. Classification (NCBI taxonomy): domain Eukaryota; kingdom Metazoa; phylum Chordata; class Mammalia; order Primates; family Hominidae; genus Homo; species Homo sapiens. The sequence goes on along the minus strand of NC_000005.10, from coordinate 117,295,960 downwards.
GATACAAACATATTGTGGTTCTCTTCATTGGGTGTAAAGATGGAGGTTCCTGAGAGAGAAAAAAAATCACTTGGGGCCAGGAACATTACAGCAAACAATCCTAGAACAAGTGGCACATTACTCTACCTTGAAAGAGGAGTAAAGTTTCGGTGAATAGGGAGGAGGGGTCAGGTAATCCAGGTGGGGATATAAGGAAGAACTCCTTAAGCCAAAAATGAGACAGAGATGAACCTGGCATTTTAGCCTGGCTTCCCCAGAAATCAGAGCCTGAGACTGAGGGCTCATGTGATATTATTTTATTAGGTTACACTACGCTAGGAAACAGGTATAAGGGAGTAAGAAGAGGAGTGAAGCAGAGAAGAGAGAGTCAATATAATGATACATTTTGCAACTAGCACTGCTAACTACAATCAGTTTCTCCATTCATGGAAACATATCCCCATGGGCCAACTTGATTTCAGAACCATCTGTCAATGGGTGGAGAAAGGGGATAATAGTGGAGGAATTTCAATACTGACTTCCAGCTCCCATTGGTCAAAAGTTATGACCAAAGTTATGACCAAAGTTATGGCCTCTCTATGAGGCATTAAGTCCCCTGCACTTCCAGATTAGATATGCCTGAGTATAAACCCCCAGTAGGCTCCCATTACACCATCAACACAAAAGCCACAGGTCAATTATCTTCCATATTAAATTGAAGTTTAGGAAGCTTATTCTATTGAAATGAGCAAGTAGAGGAAGGGTTTGGAGAAGGAAACTAGAAACAAGAATGCATGTTGTCATGTTTTTTTAGTTGATTCACCTGAGAGGTCACACTGACCAAGACCATTGCTGTGGTAATAGGATTGATAAAGGCAGTGGACCAGGAGCCAAAAGACCTGGGCTGTGGTCTATGTTCCACCCCTGCCTCACTTACTAACCTTAGACATGGGAGATCATTCCTCTGGCTCTCAGCTTTCTTGCTTATAAAATGGGAATAACTGAACCTATCCTGCTTACCTCATAAAGCTATGAAACTTAAAGATAATTGGTTAGACAGCCTTTCGTAGATCTCTACAAGGAGAACTACAAATCACTGCTCAAAGAAATCAGAGGTGAAACAAACAAATGAAGAAACATTCCATGCTCATGAATAGGAACAATCAACATCATTAAAATGGCCATACTGCCGAAAGCAATTTATAGATTCAATACCATGTCTATTAAACTACTATTGACATTCTTCACAGAACTAGGAAAAAAAAATTTAAAATTCATATGGAACCAAAAAAGAGCCCTAATAGCCAAGGCAATCCTAAACAAAAAGAAGAAACTTTTTATTAGGTTATACTACTCTAGTCATGCTACTTGACTTTAAACTATATTACAGGGCTACAGTAACCAAAACAGCATGGTATTGGTACAAAAACAGAAACATAGACAGAATAGAGAGACACAGAACAAAACAGAGAAAGCAGAAATAAGGCTGCACACCTACAACTATGTGATCTTTGACAAACCTGACAAAAAGCAATGGGGAAAGGCTTCCCTATTCAATAAATGGTGCTGAGATAACTGGCTAGCCATATGCAGAAGGTTTAAACTGGACCCCTTCCTTATATTATATACAAACATGAACTCAAGGTGGATTAAATGTAAAACCCAAAACTATAAAAACCCTGGAAGACAACCTAGGTAATACCATTCAGGACATAGGCACAGGCAAGGATTTCATGATGAAGATGCTGAAAGTGATTACAACCAAAGCAAAAATTGACAAATGGGATCTAATTTAACTACAGAGCTTCTGCACAGCAAAAGAAACTATCCACAGAGTAAAAATATAACCTACACAAAAGAAAACTTTTGCAAACTATGTATCCAACAAAGATCTGATATCCACCATCTAGAAGGAACTTAAACGAACTTATAGGAAGAACCAAACAGCCCCATAAAAAAACTGGGCAAAGGAATATAAATCATTCTATTACAAAGATACATGCATGTGTATGTTCATTGCAGCACTATACATAATACTAAAAATATGGAATCAACCCAAATGCCCATCAGTGATAGAATGGATAAAGAAAATGTAGTACACAGACAATGTGGAATACTATGCAGCCATAAAAGGAAATGAGACCATGTCCTTTGCAAGAACATGGATGGAGCTGAAAGCCACTATCCTGAGCAAACTAATGCAGGAACAGAAAACCAAACACTACATGTTCTCACTTACAAGTGGGAGCTGAACAATGTGAACACATGGACACACTGGGGGAAACAACATACACTATGGCCTGTTGCGGGGGCAAGGGAGAGCATCAGGATAAATAGCTAATGCATGAGGGGCTTAATACCTAGGTGATGGGTTGATAGGTGTAGCAAACTACCATGGCACATGTAACAAACCCCACACATCCTGCACATGTATCCTGGAATCTAAAATTAAATTAAATTTTAACAAAAGAAATACAAGACAAACAAAAAGTGGGCAAATGACATGAACAGACACTTTTCAAAAGAAGACATACATGTGGCCAACAATCATATGAGAAAAAGCACAATAATACTGATCATTAAAATATGCAAATCAAAACCACAGTGAGATACCATCTCACACCAATCAGAATAGCTATTATTAAAAAGTCAAAAAATAACAGATGCTGGTAAGGTTGTGGAGAAAAAGGAACACTTATACACTGTAAGTGAGAGCATAAATTAGTTCAGCCATCGTGGAAGACAGTGTGGTGATTCCTCAAAGACCTAAAGACAGAAATACCATTTGATCCAGTAATCTCATTACTGGGTATATACCAAAAGGAATACAAATTTTTATATTATAAAGACTTGCATGCATATATTCATTGCAGCACTGTTCACAATAGCAAAGACATGTTATCAAATTCCCATCAGTGACGGACTGGATAAAGAAAATGTAGTACATATATATAATGTAATGCCGTGCAGCCATACAAAAAAAAATGAAATCATGTCTTTTGCAGGAACAAAGATGGAGCTGGAGGCCATTATCCCTAGCAAACTAACAGAGGAACAGAAAACAAAATACCACATGTTTTCACTTATAAGTTGAAGCTAAATGGTGAGAACATATGAACACACAGAGGGGAACAATACACACTGGGGCCTATTGGAGGGTGGATGGTGGGAGGAGGGAGAAGATCAGGAAAAATAACTAAGGGTACTAAGCTTAATACCTGGGTGATGAAATAATTTGTACAACAAACTCCCATGACACAAGTTTACCTATGTAACAAATCTGCACTTGTACCCCTGAACGTAAAAGTTAAAAAAAAAAACAAAAACCTTTTGTAAAATAGGAGAGGTCATTATTATTATTGGAAGGGTGAACAAGAGAGAGTAGAACTGTTTTTACTGTTATTTCATGCAACAGATTTATACAGACTGACGGTCAAACACCAGGAAGAATTATTGTGTCAGCTTCATGTAAATGTAGTCTTGCTGACTGAAATAAAATAAATATAATTAGGGCCATCACCTGTATGATTAGAATCTCCAGCAATTACAACTCACAATGAAGCAAAGAAACTCCTGTGCTATAGGAACAATATTATTCTCAAATGAGCTCTCCAGATTGACTGGTTACAATAAACAAATTCCCAAAATTCTAACCTCTCAATCACAATTTGCTCTGTAAGCACAAAATGTTTCAATCTATAACTGCAGATATTTAATAGCTATTGCTTTGTCTATACTATCAAAAATAATTTTTTAAAAATGAAATAATAAAATCCTTAAAACCCCATTAGATTCATTCATCTTGATTTTAGGCAAAAATGTGGTTCTTTACCTAGATTATCAAGAGAATTATTTCAATATACACTTAACGAGCAAGCGTAGATATACCTTTATTTATCTCCATTCGCTACTCAAATTACTAGAGCCATTCTGACATGGTTTTCTCATTTAACTGCCCTTACTGCCCTCTTCCCATGTTTCACTTTCAGCTCACCTCATCTTCAGATGCTGGAAACAGCATAGACCATGAATGGCACTTCCAAGTATCCTCTCATATCAGTAACCTCTTTCTTTGTTTTGACATCTGATAGATATTGAACTTGGCCTCTTTAAAGAAAATGATGCAAAGCCCTCAAAAGGAGGACTTGTAATAACTTTACATTCTGAGTTGTTGCTGGTCCATGAATCAAGTGATTTCTATTCTAGTTCTGGTTCTTCCACTAATTGGTTGCAAGTAACTTGGGCGAGTAACATTACATTTCTGATCCCCAGTTTCAGCAATTATTAATAAACACATTAGACTGGATGTTCTCTAATTGATTTTCTGGCTTTTATATTCAATGTTTCCAATAGTAAAATGAAATGCTTTCTCATGAATATAATCTACAGTAATTAAGGTTTAATTAGTCAATTTGATATTACCAAATATCAAAGGAACAGCAGTTTATCACAATTAAAGCACTCAATGCTAAACTGGACCAAACTTACTCTGGTTGATTGTCTAATTCCTATCTGCTTGAGTCTGATACTGTCAACTGTAGGAATAATGTTTGTGAAGGAAACAGACAGCTGAAATTACAAAAGCCAAAAGTGGAAAATATATGGGCCTATATTACAAATGCTTACCAAAGTCCATTCTGTTACTTAAGTTTCTCCAAGCTCTCTTTTACCTCTTTTTCTATTCCACCCCACTCTCACTAATGCCATCTCACTAATATTCTTTCGATTATTCATTGTTATAGGTTGGAGCTTTTCAAGGTAATCGTTAGTGATCACTTCTTATCTTAAAAAACAAAAACAAACAAACTTCAAAAAATTCACAACTGTAACTTGTCTTGTTCCAGAAATAATTTAGGACATCTTAAGAAATACACACAGTAGAAAAATAAAATATGTTTTTAGTTTGGAAGAAATTTGAGGTAACAAAAAATTAAGGGTAATAAAATGTGATGTGGTGCCGAGAGATAAGTACAGAACATATATACCACAAGATCCTATGAACATAGTAAAGAGAAATCACAAATATGTCACGACCTTTTGATCAGTCAGCAGGAAAAGAAAAACATGACTAGTTATGTAATTCACTGCGTTTGTAAGATAAAGATAAATCAATTTCTCAGAAGCACAGAGAGAAATTCTCTCACAGACTCCTATAAGAAGGTTTCTTTGTCATGTGGTGAACCAAGAAACTTAATCCCTACAGTAAATATGTCACAAAGCCCCACAGGGTGGTTTCTGATGACATCCTTCAATATAAGCTGGCAACATAAGCCAAAGTGACAGTATAATGAAATCCATAGTACAGGAATGTTGATAAAATGTGGTGATCTAGTTTAATCCAATGATTGATTTTTATATTATTGAGAATATTGTTGTAGTAAACTTCTCAATAGCCATGGTATGGTAGTGCAGTGAAGATGGTCCACTGGAATGAGTATCTGAAATTCAGAGTGACAGTTCAGTGACCGGCCAAATGTTTTATCAGTCTGCCAAGCCAGAAGTGTAACTGCCATTTTTTAATGAAACTGGGTTGTTTAACAGGGACAAGTGTCAACATGGAAGGTCAAGCCATTCATGTTATGTGGAGACTAAGGGAGAACCCACTGGCAAGGCAACGGTCTCCTTGAGAAGACAGGTCATCTACGCACAGACAACAGAGCAGGTGGGAGCCCCAGCTTCTATGCCACAAAACAGAACCGTAATTTAAGTATGTGAAAATTTTAAAGCAACTAAAACCAAACAATCTACCTTGCCTGGTAAATAAGAAATCAAATCTCTAGAAAACATTCATTTGAAGTCTAGAGCTTGAAGCAATAAAACTTCCTAGTATGCCCTAAAAAGATAAAAATCATCGCAATCTAGATTTCTAAGCATCAACTGGATGAGATAGCCTGTCATGGAGCAGCATTATTATTTATACACCAATTTGAAACTGGAGGCCTGTTGAAGCAAACATGACACCTTAGTTTTGGAAGAGTTGATATGTGATCTTTTCTGCTCTGAAGACTGTTTCTAGTCTGGTATTAAAAAGTTGCTGTCTACACAGAAGAAAATGCTTAGTTTCCAGTACTTCAGAGTGAAGGGGAGGGCATAATCCTTGTTTACAACTAGCTGTTTTTCTGTATGTTATCTGGCAATCCCTTAAACCCAAATCTTCTTAATTCCTTTTCTCACCTTCATTTCCTCCACTACTGAAACAGTCTAACACATAGTAAAACTGTCAATAAATATTTATTGAATGATAAATCCATGTCAAAATAAGACATTCACAATATATCCTACTGAAAGAACTTATAACAGGGCCCACTTTTCTCGATTAGTGATACATCTTTTAAAGTCATTGATTAAAATGCGTATTTCTTGGCTCACTCTCAGAAATTAAGATTGATTTAGTTTCTGGAAGGGTCACAATGTCCACCTTTTAACAATCATCCCAGATAATTCAGATGCAAAAGATCCAGAAATTAAGGTCTCAAAAGCACTGCAAATGTTAAATGTAGGTTCTATATGAACATCACCAGCCCAGGGCCTTAGCCCCTACCTGCTTTCTATCCATGATCAACGGTGTATGGGGAAGGGAAGGTGTCTCAATTAAAACTTTAAACAATCATGTTAATACCAACAACTACTCCTCAAGGTGGTAAAGTGTAAAATAGAGGTGAATAGTGGAATACCTATGTCAAAAATCTATGCTTTTTAAAAAAATACTTGCTTGAAAAACTCAGGCTTATAATTTATCTAGCAAAGCTTTTTAGAAGGAATAGATGTTGAACTAGTAAGTCTATAATTTGAGATGAAAAAGGATATAATTATCTAAAAAGGAAGCTTAACTGCATTCTGGCTTTATAAGCAAGTGTTTTGATAGCCCAGCAAAAAGCCTGGGATCCACAAATTTCAGGGCATTAGCAGACCTTTTAGCCAAATACATCTCACATAGATGTATTTTACCCAATTTTTTATTTTGTTTTGTTTTGTTTCTTAATTCAATTCTCAAAGAGCCTCTTGGGTTATCTAATGGTTCTAATATATACACTTTTAGGACAGAAACTGGGACTCCTTTAATTTTAGGGGCCAGATACAAACACCTGGCAATGCTATAAGTTGTAGGTGGTTATTTCTAAGAAGGGAATGAGTGTCTCTGGACGGGCCACTTGGATGCAATGAGTTTTTCCTGCATAGCAACTATGTAAAGTTAAACTGTTTGCCTGATCACGTTATTTATTCCTTCAAATAATTTTTGAGCTTCCACTAAATGTCATGAACTCTCACAGGTGTTTAGAAGGCAGAGGTAAATTAATCCAAGTGTCTACTTTCTAATGCTCACATTCTGTGACTTGGTTAATTATACTAATAACATAGTAATACAGGAAAACATAAGGCACTGTGGTAATACCTACCCAAGACGGGCACTATCTCAGGCTCAAAGAAAGAAAATAAATGTTATAAAATATCTCAAGAAGAAGTGATGCCCCAATTAAGTCTTAGATAAGGAAAATAGAAGTTAGGAAGGCAGGGTCAGGAAGGCATCTCAAGGCATTCCAGAACATAACATGTGAGTAACTGAGTGATAGCACATGAATGAAGCTGAAAAGTCATGAAGGATCCAGATCAGGGTATACTTTATCTTAAAAGCCATGTGGAGCTTTGAAATATTAGAGTCAGACAAGTGAATTCTCAGTGGAACAGAGAATCACTATAAGGACATCACAGAGAGAACTAAGCCTTATTTTAATTAGAAAAGTATTACTTATCTGCCAGGCACGATGGCTCATGCCTATAATCCCAGCGCTTTGGGAGGCCAAGGCAGGTGGATCACCTGAGGTCAGGAGTTTGAGACCAGCTTGGCCAACATGGTGAAACCGCATCTCTACTAAAAATACAAAAATTAGCCAGGCGTGGTGGCAGACACCTGTAATCCCAGCTACTCGGGAGGCTGAAGAAGGAGAATTGAGGCAGAGGTTGCAGTGAGCCGAGATTGCGCCACTGCACTCCAGCCCTGGCAACAGAGCGAGATTCCATGTCAAAAAAAAAAAAAGAAAGAAAGAAAAAAAAAGGAAAGTATTACTTATCATGAATGTTCTTTTCATTTAGGAATGCTGGCCCCCAACAAAGGGAGAGCATTAAGCCAATAGGTTTTATCACTACAATGTGTAATTATATTAGAAAAACACTGATCCTTAGTGGAATATGACAGTGTCATAAGTGTGATGATCACTCTTGGTTATTTCTCATTCCTGTCCTTCTTCATAACATGAATGAATATGTAGCTAAAATGAGTGGATAATGGTCATCTTTTTCCTAAAGCTTCTCAGATACAGGGGGGAAAAAAATCAGTAATCCATCTTTAGAGTAACTTTTTTTGCAGGGTGATAAGGCATACCGAAGGAAAAAAATAAGTTTCCATAGTCACTGGAAGAATTTTGGTAGTTAAAAATGTTATAACAACAGTATTTCAGGATCACATGGCCTTCCAGGCTCGCTCTTTCCTGTTTATTTGTGATTATATACTTCAACAACATCCTAGGTTATTACTCCACCTAGTCCCCCCAGCTTTCTCATCATTTTAAACTAAACAGGTCTTAAAGTGAAGAATATCTTTGCATAGCATCATTCATTTTCAAAGGAAATTAGGTGGAGACAACCCACATTTAGAGAAGCAGTAGGTAGGCATTAAAGGGCATTTGTCCTCTAGATTTATCTTTTACTCATGAATGACCTCATCACAGAAAGAAATTAGCATAATTTATATCAATAATTTGTTTCTGTGATGTGTGAAGAACCCCACAATAAATTAAAAATGTTTTATGACTGCATTTTATCAGCTTATTTACCCTTATTTATATTTAGGACTGCAAAGTCACATTGATAGAGTTATGAAAATGGCCCATGGCCTGAAGCCCTGGTTAGTTTATAGACCAACAGGAATGAAGCTGTCTTATCTGAGTGATTAGAAAGGCTTTGCTGAATTTGACTTGTTAATTATAACACTTGCCTCATTGTTGAAGGGCTGCCTCTAATTCTCTAGCTTCCCAAGTTAAGAGGTCACCTAAATGGAGTTGCTATCTTTGGTGTAAACTGGTCAATCACTTCGTCAAACAGATTCATTTGATTTGTCTTTTAAAGCAACCTTTTGACTTGTAATCATCCACATTCTCTTCATGCTTTATTTCACTTTATTTTACTGGAGCGCATTTTAGAATGTTTGTCATGAAAAGAGCTACATAAATATTAATGTATTGATAGTGTTATGGCATTTCAAACCTATATTTCACTTCATGGGTTTTAAGAGCTACAAAATTTACTGACTGCACAGAAAATATAGGTATAATGGACTTACTGAAATGCCCCAAATACGATAAAACATATGAATTATTAATCCCATGAAAGTCAGTATGATCCTGTTTAAATGCCAAATTTTCTGAACCAATCTTGGATTTTTTTTTTCACTAAGAGATAAAATTTCAGTTGACAGATAAATATAATGTGCCCTATAATTTTTGAATTTTAAAGTTAATTTGGACGTATATATTATAAAGTAAACAAAATCATAAATTAAGACACATCTAGACTGAAAAGGGTACTCTAACTTAAAGCTACATGGTCATACCTCAACTTTCCCGGCTGTGCTATGAACCCTACATGAGGTCATGAGGTCAAGAGTCAACAAAGTCAACAACTGCCTTACAATTTGGAAATTTAACAATTTCCAACTAAACATTTTGGATAAAAAAATAAAATGACACTTAAGGAGCATTCCATACAGTCAAAAAGGGATGAAAATAGCTCACCCTGAGATATTCTTTACCTGTTGTGGCACAGGGAGAAATTTAAGGAAAGGGAGATTCTGAACAGCACAGATGCTATATAAAACTACTGAATTTTCTGTCTTTAACCATATAAAGCTATATAAAAATGCCAATTTACTCAGTGCCTTATTATCATGTAGCTAGTGAGAGGGCAAAATCTGTGGGAAAGAAAGTGGGTGAACTGGGTATTCCTTCTTCCAGAAGTGTTTGACAAGTACTAACAATACAGACTGCATTGTACTAGGCACTTGAGGGATGCAAAATGAGAATATAGAGCTTCAGTCTTAGAGAACTTAAAATATTGTTCAGGAAGAGAAAGCAAGAATGAAAACATACACCTAGACAATAGAAACAAATTAGAATTCTGCCAGGTAATACAAGCTGCATTGACAAAGGTGAGTCATGAAGATTGCTTTGTGTAGGGATGTCTTGACTTTAATTTTGATAGAAATGATTTTAGTGCATTAATAAAGAGGAAATTTGACAGTATGCTCAGCAGGAAAATGCAACAAGAGGCAAGACAAAGAAATTGTGAGTGATGTGTGAGATGCCAAGTGACCACTTTTAGTTAAATGAATAATTGAATAAGGCTTTATTTTCATCTCACATGAAAAGAATATGCATTAGTCTTGGAGTAGTGATATGCCAATATTTCAATAGCATTTCCCTCCCCCACACTTTCATATTATGATAGTTTTTACAGAACAGTAATTATAGGTTGTGTCTTATGCTCATAAAATAATATATACTATTCCAGGTAAGAATCACATGAAATACATGAAATAAGTTTTATAAATCCTTTTTTAGAAGATAAAGGAAGTGAAAATTTGTTAATTGCAAATTGTGCAGCAAACAATATAGTATATTTCATCTAAATTTTCCAAATGTTCTCCTCAAAGTGTGTGTCGTTGGCTCAATCACTTAAATTTTTAATTTCAGGGTTCTGCTTTGAAAAGTAAAAGCATCAAACCAGATTTCCAAAGCTTTTCAGCTTTGATGGTTAAGAATCATTTAAGTTTCAATATCTTCCTCTCTCTTTACCTTTCTCATCTCCTCTTCAAAACAACAACAAACAAACGAACAAACAAAAAGAAAAAAGGGGCAATGAACTTTTCTCTCTCTTGGACCAAATCCTTGGATGAGGAGGACAAAGTTAGTTGAACATCAACAGAATCAGTGTTTCTTCAGAAAACAATTGATACAGAAAATGAAAAATTAGAATGGAATAATGGAATAGGCAAAGATAGACTAGAATGAAATTTGCCAATAACCCAAATCACTAATTTAAAAAGAAATAAACAAAATTCCATGCAACAGGAAAAACAGAATATACAAAATGATCAAACAAGACATATCTCTGGGTTTGAATTTCAAGGAAAAAAAATTAAGTTTTAAGGCAAAAAAAATTCAGGAACTTAAAAAAGATGGGATGGAAAGAGGAAGACGGAGGTTGCTATGACACACTAGCTCAAACTTCTTAACAACAGCATCAGCAACATTCTGAAGGAAAAAAATAGTAGTAACTTAAACTTAATTTATACAGTTTGATATTCAAATTTAAGGGAAACATCTTTAAAAATGAAGAATTAGAAATGATTATTCCTTTTTGAAAATAACATGACTCCAAAATTTTGTCATAAATGATAGATGTAAAAGACAAAAGGAAGAAGAAGAAGAACAAGATGAAGAACAGGAGAAGCAGGCCGGGCACGGTGGCTCACGCCTGTAATCCCAGCACTTTGGGAGGCCAAGGTGGGCAGATCACAAGGTCAAGAGACTGAGACCATCCTGGCCAACAAAGTGAAACCCCGTCTCTACTAAAAATACAAAAATTAGCTGGGCGTGGTGGCGCATGCCTGTAATCCCAGCTACTTGGGAGGCTGAGGTAGGAGAATCACTTGAACCCGGGAAGCGGAGTTTGCAGTGAGCTGAGATTGTGCCATTGCACTACAGCCTGGGCAACAAGAGCGAAACTCCATAAAAAAAAAAAAAAAAAAAAAAAAAAAAAAAACAGGAGAAGCAGATTGAACACGGGAAAAAATGTATGTTTGTATATCTGAAGATGAATTTACATGGAAATAAAATTTTAATAGGCAAATGTTTGAAAACTTGATGCTAAAGAATAATCACATAAAAACCTGAAGGCAAAAATGAGTAAAACATCCTAACTTAATATAAAAAGATTTAAATTGGTTCAAAAATGTATAATTTGTCCTATATTGTATATAAAACATGTAAAGACAAAAACTGCTTAACTGCTTAATTTGTCCTATATTCTATATAAAACACGTAAAGACAAAAACTGCTTAAGAAAGATTAAAAGTAAAAAGATGGACAGATTTACAGCAAAGCAATAATTTTAAGAAGAAAGTTATAGAAATATTATTGATTTCAAAGGAAGTTTAATCCAAAAAAAGTTAATGAAGCAAAAAGAACATACGATGAGGTTATAACTCTAATAATAAATCTTTATCCAACAAATAACAAAGCATCACAGTACCTAAATAATGAAATGTAGAAAATACACTAAAAAAATCAATAGAAAGAAGATATTAATTTACATCAATAAGCTCATGAAAAGTCTAGTAAAACAACAAAAATATGTAGCATTTCTAAATATATTATTTATATATAGTATGCTATATTTATATTCATTTATAGATTTATTTTATTTAAATATATTTATGTTAATGTTCAAGTCAAATTCTACATCTCTCAAAGAAAAGCTATATGTTATTTTATGGAAGCCATAAAATATTTTTTAATTGATTGTACTTTACGACATAATGGAAATGTTCATATATTTCCCAAAATGTAGGTACTGCAGACATTTTCACTATAAAAATTCTTAAAATTAATAACAAAAGTATAAACAAAAACAATGTCAAGATACATTTCAAGCAATCCCAAGGTTAAAGAAGAAACCAAAACTCAAATTGCAAAATTAGTAGAAATTAATGAAACATATCAAAACCTATATAATATGGCTAAAGCTATGCCACAGAGGAAAATGTGCTACTGAACCAGACAAATCACAGTGAATCAATTCGGTGACTGAATCAAGAAGATAGCTTTAAAAATGACCTATAGAACACAATTATGATTCTGTAGAAAGAAAGAAGTTGCTGATAGTTATAAATCTATAACTTTTTTTATTTCTATAAGAAATAGAAAAAATAGCATTAAAAAATAGGTAGCTTTAAAAAATATTTTTAAGTTTCTTTTTTATTAGAGATGGGGTCTTTCTATGTTGTCTAGGCAGGACTCAAACTCTTGGGATCAAGTGATCCTTCCAACTCAGTCTCCCAGTAGCTGGAACTAGAGGAAGAGGTAATTATTTGGAAAGAAAATATAATAGATCATAAAACATACTAATTAAGAATAAAAGGCAAAGCAAAAAATTACCAAATTAGAAATAATAGAACACTAATCATAGATCTTGAGAAAAGTTAAAAAATGACAATGGAATTATTTAAAAGCTCTGTATAAATTTTTAAGCTAAATTAGATTATTTTCTGTGAAAATAAGCTACAATTAAACACTAAAACATATGTGCTTCCAAATAAGCAGTTTAACACAAAAATTCCTTTGTTGTTTTACTTAATAAATAAATCTCACGCTGTATTACATTACAGTGAAAGAATCAAATCTTTGTTTTTTTTTTTGAAGTCAGGTAAACACTGATATAATGTGTGACAAATACGCCACAGATAATACTAACCAGTCTCACAAATGAATATTTATTTCTAATCCAACATTTTCAAAGGGAAATATGGATGTCAGTGGTAGATGAAAACAATAACTCCTTAGGATCATAGGAAGTTTATAACAAAAATATAAGAATTACTCAATAACAGGAAGTCAATAATGCAATACATAACTGATAAGTCAAATGAAAACAAATACCATTTTCTTAATAAATGTCAGTGAGATAGATGTTTGTCAAAATTTAAAATCTATTTCTGATTTTAAAAACTTATCAGTAGACTAAAACTAGGACTAACTCTAACATGAAATTATATATATATATGTCATCTTAAGTGAGCATGATTTTTCATGATAAAAATTTGAACTATTCTATTGGAGCCAAGAACCAAAAAAAATCAAGGAGCCGGGGGAGGATTGTAGCTCATAACACCCCCTATTAGCATATTTAGTTAACCTTGATCTGGAAGTACTAATGTAATCGACCCTTACCATTTTTGTCCAGAGCTCTAGCATCTGATTATGCAGAGCTCATACCACTGGTAGAGCCAGTTTCTCACTTTCTGGGTCCTTATGGCCCGTAGAAAAAAGGCATATGAATTTGACTGGAGCTTTGCAATGCAAAGAAGCCAGGAGCATTGAAAATCAAGGAAGGAGGGTGTGCAGACAGTGGCAGCAAACTAGCCATGCCAGGCTCAGAGGTACTCTATCAAGTGCTGGCATGATAGGTGGTGCTTGCCATGGCATCTATGTAGAGCAGTGGCAGCAAGGTTGTCACCAAAGAGATTGCATGACATGATTTTGCTTTGGTTTTTGCTGACAGTCTTCTGTTACTCTTCCAGGTATTTTATTATCTAAATTCATTTTCTGATTAAAGAAACCAGAATCAGGTACTACTGCTTCACTTAAAAATACTGACTGATATAACTAGCCAGCACAAATCGACAATAGAAAATATTAAAGTGATCAATATTGAATTGGGTGATCAAAACATATAAGATGATGTAACTGTCTACCTAGAAATTTCGAGTCAACTAAAAAACGTTAGAAATAATAATAGAAGTCATTAAATGTAATCATATTCTTATATAAAAAGGAAACATACATGGAGTGCAATAGAAGAGAAAATCCCATTTGCACTGGTATTCACATACAAAGTAATAATATGTTGAAATAAACATAACAACGTTCAAGACTTATATAGAGAACTCTACATAAAAATATATGAAATGACATTAAATTATATTTAAGTAAATGCAAAAATAGAATGTATTCTTGGATAGGAAGTTTATAAATATTAATTCATTCTAAACTCATATGTATATGAAATGTGATTATAATTAAATAACAAAAGGCAGAATGTTATCAAGTCCCCATTTGAAAAGGAGATGGAAATATCTAAAACAATTCTGAGAAGACAGATGAAAAGGGAATAATCTTGCTAGATATTAAAATATCATACAAATTTCAAAACCTTTGACATATTAATATATTAAATTTTCATTGTGTCAACATATTAAAGTACTTTGGAGCTGCATAAATAAAAAGTGGTTTAATGGAGCAGAATAGAGGCCAAAATAAATTATAATAAATATGGGATTTTGATTTACTACAAGGATGCAAACCAGTGGGGAAAGAGGGTGATATGGTTAGGCTTTGTGTCCCCACCCAAATCTCATCTTGAATTGTAATCTCCAGGTGTTTAGGGAGAGACCTGTTGGAAAGTGACTGGATTATTGGGGTGGTTTCCCCCATGCTGTTCTTGCAATACTGAGTGAATTCTCACAAGATCTGATGGTTTTATAAATGGTAGTTTTTCCTTAGCTGACACACACTTGCTCTCTCTCATCTGCTGCCATGTAAGACATGCCTCTTCCTTTTCTACCATGATTGCAAATTTCCTGAGGCCTTCCAGCCATGCAGAACTGAGTCAATTAAACCTCTTTCCCTTATACATTACCAAGTCTCAGGTATTCCTTTATAGCAATGTGAAAATGGACTAATACAGAGGGACTGAAGGACTCATTCAGTGGTTGGTATTTGAATAACAGGCTGCCATTTGGAACTGTGTAAACAGAAACTTTTCCTTTTACACGACTGTTCTGCCTTAGCTTGCTAGAGCTGCCGTAATACACACAAAATACTGGGTGGTTTAAACAACAGTGAATTATTTTCTTACAATTCTGGAGTCTAGAAGTCCAAGATCAAGATGTCAGCAGGGATGGTTTCTTCTGAGGCTACTCTCCTAGGCTTGTGGATGGCCATCTTCTGGTTTTTCCTCGTGGTCTTCCTCAGTATCCTTTTCTCTTATCAGAAAAGACATCAGCCGTTTTAGGTTAGGGCCCACCCTAATGACTTCATTTTACTTTAATTACTTTTTTAAAGGTCCTGTTTCCAAATACAGTCCCACTCTGGGTACTGGAGATTAGGACTTCAATATTTGAATTCTGAAAGGACATAATTAATCTCATTAGGAAGTGGGCACCCAGACCACCAGCAATCTTAAATCTCAACCTAGAATCAGAAACTCTGGGTGTGGGTCCCAATTGTGTGTACTTAACAAGTCCTCCAGGTGATTCTGAAGCATATTAAAGTTTGAAAACTACTCCTTAAACAAAAATGATTTCCAAATTATTAAGTAAAAAAACAAAATTAAGAGTTAGCATTGGGTTGAATAGTGAACCCCTCGAAATTCATGTCCACTCTGAAGCTTAGAATGTAAACTTATATGAAAATAAGGGATTTGCAATATAATTAGCTTAATTAAAATAAGGTTATCTTGAATTAGGGTGGGTAATAATCCAATGACTAGTGTTCTTCAAGAAAAGCAAAGGAACATAGACATGCAAAGAGAATGTCCATATAATGATGGAGGTAGAAATTAGAGTAATGTATCCACCAGCAAAAAACATCAAAACTTGTGGGCAACTACCAGAAGCTGGGAGAAACAAGGAAGGATCCTACGCTAGGGGAAGGACTTCACACAGGGCAAGACCCTGCCCTGTGATTTCAGATGTCTGCGTGATTTCAGATGTCTGCGCTCTAGAGCTGTGTGAAAATACATTTTTGTTGTTTTAGGTGACGAAGTTTGTGGTGCTTTGTCACAGCAGCCCTGCAAAACTAATACAGAGTATTAAAAATGGAATTTAATTATTTTTTAGTGGAGCGGACTTTTTATAAACAGAATATAAAACTCAGAAAAGAAAAACCTCCACATGGTAAGAAAAGTGCAATGTCAAAGAAAACAAATGATAAACTGGAAAGGGTATTAGTAATACTTACAAGAGGTCACTTTTTTTTTAATTTACAAAGCGTTCATAAAAATAAATAAGATGGTTAATAGGAATAAAATGTGAAAATGTGAGAGGACACTTTGAGGAAAAATGCCAAAATGCCAAAAAATGTGTTAAAACATGGTCAATGGCATTACTAAATTAATGCAAATTAAATCAGCAAGACATGATTCTTTTCATCTATCAGAATAACACATTAAGTTATAATGTTTAATGGTGGTAAATTTTAGAAATATAGGCAATCCCTTACATTCTTGGAGGAAGATAAATTTCACCTTTTCCATAAAGCAATTTGACCATATTGTAGGTTTTTAAATGCACACAGCAATGCGATGACTGAAAATTTACATACTAAATTATTTCAAGATATATGTAAAATAATATTTCTGGCACGATACTTTGCTACCAAAAAAACCCCGCAAATAGTCTACATATCCACCTATGTGATATAAACCAATTTAATTATGAGGTATCTGAATTAAGAAATAATAAGTCATTAATAAAATGGAATGAGATAATGTTCTTTGCAGGGACATGGATGGAGCTGGAAGCCATTATCCTCAGCAAACTAACACAGGAACAGAAAACCAAACACTGCATGTTCTCGTTTATAAGTGGAGCTGAACAATGAGAACACATGGACACAGGGAGGGGAACATCACAGGGAGGGGATTCAGGGGAAGGACAGCATCAGAATAAATAGCTAATGGATGCTGAACTTAATACCTAGGTGATGGGCTGATAGTTGCAGCAAACCACCATAGGTTTACCCATGTAACAAACCTGCACGTCCTACACACGTATCCTGGAACTTAAATAAAATTAAGTTTTTTTAAAAAAAGAAATAATAAGGCATTAAAAGATTGAGGTAGATTTCTATGTATTAATATGGAAAAATATTTGGTATGTTAAACGAAGATATTCAGGGGCAGAAAATGGAAGCTTGTTTAATTCTTTTTGTGTAAATAAAATAAGACGCGCTCACAAAAAAATATATTTCTAGAAGAAATCACAAGGAATGATTAACAGTAGATATCTTTGATAAAGGGTTTGGGGATATAAGAAAGGAAGCTCTTTTTTTCACATGTTGCTCATCTTTATGATTTAACTACTCTAAGCATAACTATTTAGAGATACAGATAAGAAAACCTGCATAAATATTGTGCCAATTTATTTTATCTGGATGGTGAGATTATGGGCTATTTTAACGTTTTTTAATTATAATTTTATGTGTAAAAACCTCTCATATTTTATAGCTGCAAAAAGGCCTGAGATAACTTTCGCCTTAATTGCTTTACAAACTAAAAAATAAAAAAATAATATGGACAAGCTTTCCATACTGTTTCCTAGTACTCATCAACAATAAGTAAGTGTTGTAACTAAGAATCCTTTGAATAAGTCATTTTGTAAATCAAGGGACTAGAATGATGTTGTATGATATAAAGAAACAGCACAGCCACCAGCCTTGTCTTAGAATTTGAAGGGACCAGTTTTGATATGCTGCTCTGTTGGTGGCCTATGACAGTAAACAATGATAGTGAACTTGGATTTTTGATCTTTCAAACAGAGACTGTCTTTATTATCATTCACTCTAATACCTCTGCCAAGCAAGGCGAGAAAAGATGTGGGGAAGGAAGGATGTTTAGATAATTCAAGGTAAATAATTTACTTCACATAATATATGATAAATGGTAGCTAAGAGCTCAAGCTCTGGGGTCAGGGGATTTTGTCTTTAAATTTCAGCTTCAATGTGACTTAATTTATTGCCTGAAGCAACTCAGCTTCTTGGTGTCTGTTTTCCCATCTGAAACAAGGACAATAATTAGCTTCTTCACATAGGGTGATTGTATTAAGTGAACAAATGCAGATACTCTGCACAGGGCCTGAGAAGGAGCAGCATTTAAAAAAGGAAAAAATTCGCCATAAAAAGTGTTATCTTGGAAAAAGACAAGGAATTCATGTATTTACAATTGCAGTTATAATACTATATGAAACAGATACCATGAACAAGTCCAAAGGACCATGCAAATAAATTGCATTGTAGCTGACTGCAGATTGGAGCAAAACTAATTATTTTAAAAAGAGCAGACATGCACATTTAAATGATGTTAGAAATAAATTATGTGTTTTCTACATATCAGACCCATTTCCACTCCATATAGCACATTTTAACTTTTGATTGAGAATAAGATTCATTTTAACTTTTTTATTCAAAACTGTTAGCAGCACAAATCCATGTGGGTCTGCAGCAACTCAATTCTTGCTCAGAGGAAAGAATTCACCCAATGGGGATATGGCAGAGTGAGAGACGGAGGGAAGTTTTAAATCAGGAGTCAAAGTTTATTAAAAAGTTTTAGAGTGGAATGAAAGGAAGTAAAGAATACTTGGAAGAAGGCCAAGTGGGAGAGTTGGGAGATTCAAGTACATGGTTTCACTTTGGTTTGGGGTTTTACATGTTGTCATGCTTCTGGGGTCTTGCATCTCTTCTCCCCTAATTCTTCCCCTGGGGTGGGCTGTCCCCATGGACAGTGGCCTGTCAACCCTTGGGAGGGGCTGCATGCGCAGTGTGTTTACTGAAATTGTGCACATGTTCATTTGAGCCATTTCCCTTACTAGTCAAGTGTTCCCAGAGGGAAGTCATATACCAGTTAAACTGCCATTTTTCCTCTTAGTGCACATGCCTGAGCCCACTCGCCCAACTCCTATGACCTTATCGGAAAGCTGCTGATCACCAGCTTCTGGTGTTTTTTATCTATTGGGAGATTGCCTTTCCCTGGTGCTGGCTGCATCCAATTATTATTTTAGAGAGAGACAGTTTAACAACCACCTTACCATCACCTTATGGTCACCTGATAATCATGGTGGTGAGTGGAGGAAGGGTTCTGCCCTGCTCATGTCTGCCTAACTACCTACTCTAACAAAACCAATGACACAGTTATCGAAGTAAAAAATAAACCTTTCCCCACATTTCAACATGAAGTTGTGCATTTCACTTGTAACTAATACATAGTTACATATTAGGTGCTCCAGGAATCACCTAGATTTTAGTGACAAGATAAAAGATGTTTGGTTTTCACAGTGCCAGTTCATTTGCTTGTTTCCATGTTTGTTTTGTGACCCTTGGTAAGTCTGCTGTCTTGAGGGAGGTGATGTCCTGATAATCCACTGAATTTATAGTTATTCCTTTTTTGCAGAACCAACAACATACAGAACAACAACAACAAAAACTTTCCTAAACTGAGTTGTTTTTTTCTTTTTTTTTTTGTATATTGACAGATGTTTAAAAACCAAACAATACTTACTTGTTTTAACATCTTCCTCAGACATTCTTTTTTAATGTAAAAGAACGTATTGAGTTACCTGGATGAAGCTGAGTGTTGCCATCTTCTCTGAGTAAAATTGCAATATGAGATGCTTTGTGCTAAGAGTAAACAAACACTCCTCATGGGTTCCCTAGAGCAGAGGACCTCAAAATGGGATCTATGACCAGGTTTTAGGGGTCAGTAATCCCCCTGAATTCGTATGTAATGTTTTGTGTGTATATACATCACTTCCATTACATATTCAGATAAGTCTTTTATCTAAAAATTCTGCATTTCTACAGGGCACAAACCCCAACATATTTTAGAACTTTCAACCAGATGAAGTTTGGTAGGCCTATCACTCAATTGCTGAGAGATTGAGAGAGAAGTAACAAGTAAGGTCAGCTTGGAAGCATACTGTTTGTGATTAAAAGGAATAATTTGGTGACCCACTTGGAGAGAGTAATAAAATCTGCATTCTAAGTCTAGCTAACTATGAGTCTCTTTGTAGAATGCGAAGGTCTTGGTTTTTCTCCATTCACATAGTGTGTAAAACATGGTCACTGAATAAGCATGTTCTAATCAAAGTTGAGTGTTGTTTTATAATTTTATTTTACCTATTTTTCCTTTAGTTTAGTACACAGAAAAACATTTTTGTAAACCTAAGCTGTAAAGTCTTTTCTGCTGCTTTTTAGGAGAATCTAAATTGAGTTTTAAATAAGGGAAGGGAAATTGGAGTATAAATATCCTTATGTTTATAATACCTTTGCCCTTGTAGTTGGATGTAGGTGTCTTTTACACATGGGGAGAATTGGGTTCAATATGTTTTTTAAAGCAAAACAAATATCACAATCTAAAGTCAATATATATTTTCGACCCAAATTATATTCATACTGATATGATTGAAAAAGACAATGAAAAAGTCAAACTTTCGTTCCATTGTTGGAATAGTATATCATGAAGAAAGCATTTGTGGGTTGTCTCTTAAGAAATTTGGGGGGTTATTGAAAACTTTTTATTCTCTATAATAAGAATCATCATTTCTCTATAATAAGAATCATCATCTCTATAATTGGAATCATCATTCAAGTTGTTATGGGACTTGAGAGCATATTCAGAACTTTTCTCTGAGGGTCTGTTATGGAATACAGCTAGAGAACTCCATCTAGTCAGGTTTAAATTATGAATGTTTTGACTCTATTTGGGGCATGTGAGACAAATTATACATCCTGGTCAGCACACTCCTTTTGGGATGGAGCTGCCTGTTTCTATAATCATTGATGCACTCATAAACAAAGGACGACATCTTTTCCAATAAAAGATTTTAAGTATACAATTTGCAGCCCTGAGTGTAAAATGCCCCAGAATAATATGAATAGACAAAGTAGCTTAAATTCCCTTCCGATTAGAGGTCATAAAATATGAACATGCTATTTAAATACAACTCAAGAAGAAAAATGAAAAACAGACTACATTTTCTTATGGTACAAATGCTCAGCCTTACAAACATTTGCAGAGAAAAAAATTGAAAGTGTGCGTCTTGATACATGCTATAATACAAATGCATGCTAGAACCAGATTCTTGTGAATTATACCCTCTTCTCAGACACACAAGCACAATCTTCCATTTCTTGGCTGTCTGTGGATTAGAAAGAGCACAAATCTGATTTTTCTTTCAAAGGTATCTTTCTCTCTTTGTCTTGGCTTTATCTCAGTTCATTTTCCTCTTAGTGTTCATTTGACAAGCATTTTTTGTTGTCACCCACATGTCACCCATATATGTATATTCATATTCACTCCACTTAGCAAAGTAAGGTCAGAAATGGCTTAAAATAACCATCAGTATATTGATTACCTAGCCAGTAATTTGTGAGATAAAATTTAAGTTCGCTGATATCAAAGCTCATAATATCCGAAGATGTCTTCTTTTTAACTTAAAGCTGGCACTTTTCTGTGGAGAGCTAACAAGTTCTGGTTAAATAGCCACCTCTGCAGAATATGAGATGTAAAACATCCCTCCCACAAATAATCAACCTGAGTGCCAACAATAAAGCAGTATGAGTCACATCTAGAGAATTAACAAACAATAAGAACTCAATCAAAAGCCAGTCTCTTTTTATCACTATGAGCCAGACATTTAAATGCTATCAGTGATAAAGTATTTTCCTGAAAAAATATTTTGTTGGCCAAATTCTAAACAGTTGCTTTGTTTACTGCTGAATTTCAATAATATTTAGTCAGCCTTCAAAATAGCATATATTTATCATTTGCCCTATAGAAAAAAGTGTATTCCACAGGGATGTTAATTTGGACAATTACTCTTACCTCATCAGGTCTGATACCATGACATCTGTGGACTCACTTACACATCTGCCTTAGAACTAAGACTATCACAATTCAACCTTGTTCAACCTTGTGTTGGCCACAGTACCTCCAGCCTCTGTAGCACCACATATTCCTTTGTTTAAACAGTTGATTCTAAGTTAAAAATATTAGCACCCTGATGGGAAAGATGAAGAGACAGAACTTGAGTTATATCAGTTGTATCATTCTTTGTAACCATCTAGAGTTTTTAATGGTGTTTAAAATTTAAAACAGTGAACTAGAATATGAACTGTGAAGTGTAATATTTTTGTTTCAGATGTGTAAATCTTAGTTCACACATTAAATCTTTTACTTAATTTGAAAGTCTTTAAAATTGATATTTATTAATCTTCTATAATTGTTATACAATGTTTAATAAATCCAGAAAAAATATAATTATTGTTTTACATGATTATTATTGAAAATATTTTTTCATACAGAAGAAGGAAGTGTTGACATATATGTTAATTATGCCACTGATTGCAAGCTTAATCCCATATTAATTATAAAGTAGTATCTAATCAACTATTTGGTGACTCTCATGATTAATCTAATATTGTCATGTAAAATAGCTGTTAGTACAGCCAAAACTCTATGTCTCTCAGAATTCAGGTGCCTAGGCATTTTTGATATACATAGCTCTTAGAGGCTGTTGAGTTCAGAGATAGAAACTTAATAAGAAATGAGACTTAGGGGGAATATCTGAAAATCTTACTCCCAAAGGCCATTTACACATGCTCATGTGCACATGCACACACAGAAACTCACGCACACACACAAAACAAGTAGAATGATGGAGATAGAGAAGTACATACTTCTCAGACTCACATGTTTTGAAGCTTTCACTCTTGTTTCTCTGGAACATGTTTAATAAAAGAATTCAGTTTTGCCTCTCAGCCCCAAATTCCCTGACGCAGGACTTTTATCTCTCATCTCTAGGTAATCTCCATTTTTCTCCTGTCCTCCAACATATACATCCCTAATACCCTAAAAGTATCATAGTGGTTGGCAATTAATACCAGTTTGAGTCTGAAACCAGCTCAAGCCTCATTTCAAAAAAGCCCGTATGTAGACTACTCAGAAAACTGACTTCCAGAGAGAACTGTTTATTTTGAGCTGAAGAAGTTCTATCTTTCTTCACTACAAGCAAGTGGCACAAAGGTCACTCTGCCCTGAAAAACGATTTAATCAGAGGTTACGTGCTTTTCTGCTGTCCCGTCTTTATCCTACAAGTGACCAGGTATCAAATCTACTTGCATAACCTAGGAAATAAGAAAGAATAAATGTGTCCTAATTATAACCTGTATTAAGGTTAGAACATTTCTGATGTGACAAGTCTGCACAGTAACCCAAGGAATTTTTAGGCTTCTATCTAAACTATGCCTTATATATAATGTGTAATCTGCTGTTGGTAATGGCCTGTATGACAAAAGGATACACTTTCTTTGATGGTATAGTTTATCACACCCATAAAAGGCCATGCATAATTATTCTCCTAAATATGCAGATATTTTCCTAAAATTTGGACTATTTAGCTGAAGCTATTTTAACACCGGGCATGTTCTATGCCCAAGTAAAGAACTTAGAAGAGAATGCATAGGTTTTGGAATCTGTTAAAATGTCATTACTGCCAAGAATGTGACATATGGGGATAATTAGCTATTGTAGTCACCATGGACGCTATAGACTGTATTCTGGAATGTTACTAGAGCAAGCCTTCTCAGCATATTTTACATAATTTGGCAGTCTTCTTTATGAGCAATTCTAAAAAGAGTGGGCCACAAATTAACACAATAAAAATTATATTAAAAATAATTTATCTCATTTTTCAATTTATTCAGTCTCTGCCAGATTTAGACCAGGATATCTATTTTAAGGATCCTGAATAGAATACAATCTTGCTCTTCTCAAGAAATGGATTGGGGTCCACTGTCAGTGCTTGTGGATCTTCTCTGTTTCTATTTATCATTTATTTAGGAAACTGGCTCTGAGTGAACAAAATATACCTCATTGGATTCTGAGGCTATCATTTCAGAAAACTCTAGCATCTCTGTATGACTACGTTATATCTTTATCTTTTTCTTGATTAAACCTCAAGTATTATCAAATAATCCTTCTAACAACACAAACATGATTTTTTTCTTTCTCAAAATTAAGGAACTGTTTTTGTTACCAATAATTTATTCATTCAGACATTCTTTAGAACAGCAGTTGGTAAATTACAGCTCATAGGTCAACCTCGCCCATATTTGTAAATAAAGATTGCTTGAAACAGATATTCTCAATTGTTCATGTATTGTCTTTGGCTGTTTTCTCACTACAAAAGCAGAATTGAGTAACTATGACAAAGCCCAGGCATAACCTAAAATATTAATAATATAAACTTTATAGAAAAAGTTTACCAACCCTTAGGTTAAACAGATATTTATTGGGCACCTATTTTATATTAACCACTGTGCTGAGCACCAAAAATGTAACGGTGATGAAAATTTCCAAAATTCCGTAGTTAAATTATGATGCATTTAGTAGCAGAAAATATGAGTAGGAAGAATAAGGACACAAACTAGACATATTATTCAAATAGATAATATAAGCTCTGAAGAGGAAGGCATTCTCCATTAATTAAAATAATATTTGAAGAAACCTATCATGTATTCTTCAGTACAGTGACAAAGAGCACAAAAATTTTAATCTACTCTCTAATGCTCATGACTCCTAATATTATTGTCTTCAAAGACCACATCATGAGGAAGCTATCCATCAATATTCTACCAGAGGATTATATTTCAAAGTGAGATATCTGCAGATGGAGAAAAAAATCAATTTTTTATGTGATTTTTAAAGGCTTTCGTTATACCTGAAAATTATTTTATATATTTCTTCTCCAGTGGGAAATCAAAATATCACATTTTTTTGTACTGTGAAGGTTGAGCACAAAGATGATGATGACATTGCAGACACCTATGTACAATATATTTCTATTCAGTTTCTTTGAAGCAGCAACACTTAAGGTTTATATGACTATTTCTAGTTAACTTTATTCTATGACATCAAGCCAGTCATCTTCTAACTGGCCTGCCCTAACCACTTTAGACCTTGGCTTTGATGTGCCCGTCCATAGATAAATATAAAACACAAAACAAGTATCTTTCAATTAATCTGTGTATAACATTCTAATTTCAGAAATATAAATTCGAAATACACGTAAATGTCTTCAATGTGTCTAAAGGGACAACATGCATTCTAACTACTCTCCTTGACGTTTCTCTTCTGACCTCTAATATATTAAAAAGATAGGCTTTCTTCTGAACCTGGAATCACTTTCCTCTGTGCTGTAGAAAATTAGATGGGCATTCTTCAACACAAAGGTGAACTTAACTTTGTTCATCTTAATAAGGCTGCATTTTTGTTTTATTGTTTATTTCTTTTGTGTATTTATTTATTTATTTATTTGAGACAGAGTCTCACTCTGTAGCCCAGGTTGGCATGCAGTGGCACCATCTCGGCTCACTGTAACCTCCGCCTCCTAGGTTCAGACGATTCTCCTGCCTCAGCCTCCCAAGTAGCTGGGAATACAGTCACGTGCCGCCACATCTGGCTCTTTTTTTTTTTTTTTTTTTTTTTTGTATTTTTAGTAGAGACGGGGTTTCACGTGTTGGCCAGGCTGGTCTCAAACTCCTGACCTCAGGTGATCCACCTGCCTCGGCCTCCCAAAGTGCTGGGATTACAGGCGTGAGCCACCGCACCTGGCCTGTTGTTTATTTCTTTAATCATGACTCAGGTATTAAACTGAAGTTTTTAGAAAAACCTTCCAAGGGGTCCAGAGATCTGCTATTTAAATATGTCAGTGATTTTTATGCGAATCAGAATCATTAAATAATTTTTCAGTTATAACTTTGTTATACTCTCCCTTCCTTCAAAACTGTTATGAAGTAACTTATAATAAAAACATGGCTACAAGATATCTGCAAACAATTAATAGAATACTAAAGGCAGGGATTCATAAATAATGTGGAAGAGATGGAGATAGCCAATGACTGCAAATCTAGCAAGCAAATTAGCTACACTTTGGTGAGTAAGTGCAACAGAAGAAATACATGGAAATATAAATTCAGATGTATTGAAGTGATGTCATTTCTATAATAAAAGTTATTTATAATTATTTTAGAATAATATAAGGTATGTGATTGAGTTTATAATACAATACCCAGCACACTGTGGGTACTTATATATTTGTCAAATAAAAGGACAGATTGGTTCAATTTAGTTTTGGTAGAGTTTATAGTAGAAGTTAAATACCAGTTGACTTATATGTGGGTCACTAAGTGAAAACATAGTTTTGATAAAGCAATCTAGTATGGATTTTAGTCCATACTAGATTCAATTGTCTTTTACTCATTGTCATAGCATTGTAGTGGAAAAGAAACGAAAAATTTCTTTTCCATTTTCTTATCCCACTTTGATAATAATATCATAGGAAGTATTTAAGAGGGTTAGTTTGCTCAACATCAAAGATCTAAAGTTACTGTAACTATGTAAAAGTGATGACCTCATGTTTAAGGAAATTGTGGAGGTGTCTTCATCCATCTGGACTTTTTGGGTCCCACTCTTTCCATAGTATTCTAACTTTAAATAAGAGATACTGCAAGGGTGAGGAGTCAGTTTACATTGTAATTCAGCCATTTGTAGCAACAGACTTTGTGTTAAAATTTTTTGAAATCTCAAATCCACAAGAAAATGCTTTCTTCCAGGGAACTCATATGTGTTATATCCAATTTAGGATCTACTTTCATCTGGTTTTACACTTGATATTACTAGACTCACACAGTATGTATTCTGTTTTTTCTTTTCTTTTCTTTTTTTTTTTTTTTTTTTTTGAGACGGAATCTCGCTCTGTCGCCCAGGCTGGAGTGCAGTGGCGCGATCTCGGCTCACTGCAAGCTCCACCTCCCAGGTTCACGCCATTCTCTTGCCTCAGCCTCCTGAGTAGCTGGGACTGCAGGCACTCGCCACCACCCCGGCTAATTTTTTGTAGTTTTTAGTAGAGACGGGGTTTCACCATGTTAGCCAAGATGGTCTCGATCTCCTGACCTCGTGATCCACCCACCTCAGCCTCCCAAAGTGCTGAGATTACAGGCGTGAGCCACCACGCCGGCCACAATATGTATTCTATTATAATTTGCTTTTTTAGCTCAATATAACTCTAGCATCTTCGTATGACTACGTTATATTTTTATCTTTTTCTTGATTAAACCTCAAGTATTATAAAATAATCCTCTTAATAACATAAACATGATTTTTTCTTTCTCGAAATTAAGGAACTGTTTTTGTTACCAACAATTTATTCATTCAGACATTCTTTAAACCAGCAGTTGGTAAATTACAACTCATGGGTCAACCCAGCCCTTATCTATATTACATTTTAAGATTCATTCTTATTGACGTGTGCAATAATAGTTATACCATTTTGATTGATTTATAATAGTCCATTTTATAAATACCTCACATTTATTTATACATGTGTTTACTGATTGACATTTTGATTTTTTGCATATTTTTGTTATTTTGATAGATGGTGCTAATAGTAATTTGCACATCTATTGTTCATTTGTAAAAGTTTCTCTAGGGTCAAGTTCTTCAAAATGAGATCTGAGAACCATTAGTGGAATATGATATCAACTTAGCCATACTTAACCACAATTTTATTAAAATGTGAAGGAATAGAATTAAACATATTGAAAACATTAGACATAATAAGAGTGATGATTGCTTTATATTTCATCTCTATGTATGTGTATGTGTGTGCCTAGTCACAATGTAAAGTTAGTGAAAAGATTTTAAGCAACTCTACTTAGGATATATAGCTAGGAATGTAATCCTACACATTCAGATATTGCAAAATGAATATATTGGTGTATACTTTCAGTAGTAGTACATAATGGTTTCCATTTTTTTGTATCCTTACCAATACTTGTCAGAATTCAAATTTTGGTGTCAAGATTATATTGGTCTTATGGAATGAACAGGGTGTACGCCCTCTG
Organism: Homo sapiens; assembly: GCF_000001405.40. Lineage (NCBI taxonomy): Eukaryota > Metazoa > Chordata > Mammalia > Primates > Hominidae > Homo > Homo sapiens. Next base: position 117,267,470 of record NC_000005.10, on the reverse strand, counting down.
TTAATACTTACGGAAAAATTGCTGTAAGATTGCTGAAAATTTTACAAACTTGTTCTTAAAATATTTAGTTCCTTGGTTTCCTTATGGAAAATTTTTTAACAAGTCATGCAGAATTTTTAATTATTTTGCAATTAGCTTTGATAAGTTATATTCTCCTAGAAATATATTAATCTCATCTGGGTTTTCAAATTTCTTGTCATAAAGGCATTAATAATTTTCATTCATTTTCTTTATGATTTTGGCATCATCTATACCTATGGGTTTTTATCATTCTTAATAATTTTTATTTATAAATTCTCTGTTTCTTTGATTAATATTTCTGGAGCTATGTCTATTTTATTAGGAGTTTTAATAACCAATTTTTACTTAATTCATCATCTCTATTGCATTATTGGTTTACGTTTTATTAATATTTTTGTATTTTTATTGCCTGATGGTTAATTCTCTGGCCATGCCAACTTTATGGGTTGGTGGCTCTGACAACATTCTGCTCATAATGAGTAGCTCAGGTCACATAATAAGGTGAAGGTAGTTAGAAGATAAAGTAGATAGTAAAAACAGCTATTCTAATGAGAAGGAGCCAAAAAGCAGAAGAAAAATTAAAAATAGGGGCATCTGTAAGATAAGGTTAAATGTATAAGATCTCTAAGAAAATTGAATAAGTTGAGACACAATTTTTTCTAAAGCCACACACTAATATTGGTTGAATACATGCACTATATTTTGCTTCATGAAACAGGGAATGGTCATACAGAGCAAAGAGCTCAGATCTTCAATTAAGTTTAATTTGGAACTACATCTTCTATTAACAGAAGTCTATTAAACTGGGAGGACTTTCCCACTAAGGACAACTGTAAAGGTTGAGTACTATTAAAAATAATTTCTTTGAGGTTTCAGGAAGATACCAAGATTGCAAAGAATTGCTGGCCCAGATCTGGGAGAGAATTTCTGCCAAAAAACATGAGTCATGTTTTCAAGGTTACTTTTCCTCCTGCTTCTGAGATACTAAGACACTAGATGTCACTTTTGAGAGTCACAGCTAAATAGAGCTGACAGGAAAGGCACATAGTCTAGGACCAGTTAGGAATAATGGACTACTAAGCCTTCTCTATAAGGTGGGAACCAAAAGTACTCTTTCCAGGAGTAAGAGTAAACCAAAAGTAGACAGGTACATGCAAACAATGTAGCTCAGCTTAAAAAATGTCAGTCTCTAAATTTTATTCAGCTAAGCCCAATAAGTTAGGACTCCCAGTTGACTGGTAGAAACAAGTGAAAATTATTCCTGCTGAAAGATAAGATTGCCCTAAGCTCAAATTATTTCTACAAACAATTTTGAAAATGAAATATTAGGAATAAAGGGACATAAGAAAATATGGAAAAAAAGAAAAACTCAGAAAACATAGAAGACAACAGACAAAGACTTACAGAGAAAAACATATATGAATTATCTGACAGTATTTTAGTTTACTTGCTCTATGCAGGAAAAGACAATATTGAAAATTCTTTGAAAAAACCCTTAAAAATATAGTAGAATTGAAGGATGCAGTATCTGAAATTACAAAGTCATTAGATGAGATTAATAGTGGGTTAGACATAGCTGCAGAGAGTATTAGGACATTGGAAAATTGGTCAGAAGAAACTATCTACAATGAAGAATAAAGAGCTAAAGTGATGAAAACTGCATAATAAAGACTTAAATAATACATTAAAAACATTTAAAAATATTTATAATTTAACTTTTTACAAAAATAGGAGAGAATGTAGCAGGAGTTCTCTTTCAGGAGATACTGACTGAGAACTTTCAAAACTAGTGAACAATCTGTCTACACATTCAAGAGGCCTCATCAACTCCAAATACCCAGGCCCATCCTAGAATACCTACAAAAACATGAAAGAAAAAAATCCTTAAAATGCCCAGAGTAGAAAAAAAAATGAAATTTCAAAGATCTTGGCTGGGCACAGTGGCTCACACCTGTATTCTCAGCACTTTGGGAGGCCAAGGTGGGTGGATCACTTGAGGCCAGGAGTTTGAGACCAGCCTGGCCAACATGGCAAAACCCCATCTCTACTAAAATGACAAAAATTAGTCAGGCATGGTGGCACATGCCTGTAATCCTGGCTACTTGGGAGGCTGAGACATGAGAATAGCTTGAATCCAGAAGGCGGAGGTTGCAGTGTGCCAAGATCATGCCCCTCCGCTCCAGCCTGGGCAACACAGTGAGAATCTGTCTCAAAAAACAAAACAAAACAACAAAAAAAAGTGATCTCCAATTGGGACAACAAATATCCTACTTTTCAACAGAAACGATGAAAGCCAGAGGACAATGAAAGAATAGCTTTAAATTGCAGCATGAAAATTACTGTTTATCTGGAATATTTTTTTCCAAGATAATACCTTTCAGCAATGAAGGTACAATAATATTATGAGACCAAGATCATATGACAGAATTCTTTAAAGGAAATATTGAGAGATGGTTTTCAAGTAAAATGAAAATAATCATAGATAGAATTTTGGAGATGCATTAAGAAAGAAAAAAGGTAAGTATAGGTTTTGAAATGAGTCATTACTGAGATACCTGGTGAATAACAAAAGTATTGCTATTTGGATTATTGTTTATAGAGTACGTATACAGTTGGGTCTTTGTGACTATTATGGAGCATGCTGACTCTTAGCTAGTTATTATCACACTTTTGACCTCCCCTTTTTGTCTCTCTGACTTTTGCATGAGAACTGCTCAATTTTATGTTGTGGGCACAAGAGCCAAATCTCACATAGTTCAGCTGTAAGTAGCCTATAGGTTGTCCTTGAGCAGCTTAGAATCAAAATTTCCAAATAGCCTGCATACTCCATAGGGTAAAGTCATTCATTAATTACAAACCAAGAGGATGTGAAACATGAGAATAAAAAGAATTAGCATCCATTGTTTTTCTGCTGATTCAGAAACTATAGAATGGTAACTTGATTTTATTTAAAGGCTATTGTGTAATTTGTTTAGAGATAGTCTCTGGTCATAGGCCAGAATTTGTGTCTCTAGGATTCAGAGCCACCAGATATTCTCTAAAAATGCTTTATTGTCAATATCCACATTCTGGATAAAGGAGTCATTAGCAGGCTGCATTTATTTATGCTATATAGGGCAATCAATATTTTCCTGAATCACCAATGATGCAGCTGGCTTAGTTCAGGCCCTGCAGGACTAGTGATGGAAGACAAGTTCTACTCCCTAACCACCTACAAGCATTCCATGTAGCAAAGATAGGATTGGGAAAGGGAATTGTAGAAGTCACTTGGGATAAAAAGAGAGAAGCATGTAAAAGTAACCAGGATAGTTCAGTATAGAGAAATTTCACTTACTGGAGTGAATTAGTAGTACTATGATTTAAATTATAAAATGTGAAACATTTAAAATATAAAATATTTTTTAGAGAAATGGCCTTACTATTTTCTAAATACACAGTAAAATAAGCTGCCAAACAGAGATGTGGCACGCCTCTTGAAGATAATGAATAAATCATTTGGCATTAGCATGTGAAATATAGATGGTTGATTTGTCCTGAGTCCTGAAGAGAACTAAAATTTGTTTATACAAGTAAGTTACTTAGCAAACTGTTTTTGCATTTTTAATAAAAACTTAAAATGTTATTCTATTCCTTTTCAATAAAAATAATACTCATTATCAGTAAACTACAAATAAATGGATTTTTGCTATAATTTTAAAGTTGCTTTAAATATATCTCTATGTCTGATAGATGCTACTTTTAAGCTATAGACAATGTCCTTAAATTTAGTCATCAAATATTTTAAGTAAGTTATTTGCATAACATTACAAATAAAAATATAGCAAAATCCAACAAAGATTAGATATTCTAGTATAAGATGTCTTATTTTATTTTTTAAAACATATTTTTTTCTGATGGCTTGCTATTTACATTGCAGGACAATTCCATCCCCTAGAATATTCCATATTTTTTCAATGACTCCCTAGGCAAATGACCAAACTGCTTTGGAAAAAATACTTTTTATTCCTGGCCAATTTCTCTCTATAGCAGTCCTCACAGCTAACATTCATAAAGGAGAAACACTGCCAAATATTTCCAACTTCGGAGGACATCTGAAACTTATTGTTCAGTGCTTTCTTGGAACACCTTTATGAATACTTGATTCCATTGCAAGACACACTGTTTGCAGTGTCTGAGTTGCAAACAAAGAATGATTGCCCACTGCCCAAACTTGAAAGAGATTTTTATTCTCATTTACTCAGCAAAATTGTCATGGAGGTACTCAGAAAGGAATCTGGGAGTATTTTATGCATCAGAGCCAGCAAACATCAAAATACTCCTCATTTATTATCCTCCCAAAGTTGTTGTCATAATGCAATTATGTAAATGAGGACCTGCAATCACAATGAGTATTTGTTCCGGTTTTGAGGCAAATACTTATTAGATCAGAGCAGTTTAAAGAAAACAAGAACTCACCACCAACAGAATTCAGGGAACGTGAAAGAGCATGAGAAATTCTCATTGGAACTGTTCCCAACGTGTTGCATAAATAAAGGTAGGGTTTGTTGAAGCTCCCCTCCCATCCCCTTCATTTTCTGAGAAAGAAGCATGCTTAGCTGGAGGAATGAAGCATGGCTCAGGCAGTCATCACAGCTCTTCTGTCTTGAGTTCTGGTGTATAAGGATTGTTTTTTTTTTCCTCTCTCTTTTATATCCACCAGCTTTCTCTAGCCTTCTCCCACTCCTCATACCCTCCACAAAGGATTTCCAGCAGAGAGCAGCTGGTGCCCCATATTGGCTGCTTTCCCCAGACTCGGGGGGGGCTTTCACAGGAAATCAATGGCTGCTTATTTTCCCCTGCACTGCAGTTTTATGTGTGGACTGACATGGCCCCAACCATACCGATCCATTCTGCAAAGCTATTTCCATTCAGATGTGCCTCTTTACAAATAGCGGAAATTACTGGAGGGCCGGTGTCAAACTGCTTGTCACATCTTGTTTTCAATCTGTTGAAATCAGGTTTACAGTGTCCTATTCAGAAGTCTGGGCTCCTTTTGAGTTGCACAATACATTTCAGGAATTTCATCAGGCGATAAATGCAGAACTTCACATTGCTATTAAAAAATGATCAAAATGATTCGCCTTTTGAATTTTTTGAAGGAACTTATTTGCATGGAATGGTTTGTTTTAATTGCACAACGTCTTTTATTTCTGGGTATTCATCTCTCTTATGTGTAAAAAGTATTCCTCCTTCATTTGTCAGTATTAGAGCTGCAATATGTGACTATGTTCTGGTGATTTAGTTGCACAGAATGAATGACTAATCAAGTATTGTGTGTAGGAATACAGTCAATACCATAGCATACCATGCTAGTATTCCTCAAACCTTGAAATAATAATAGCTATTTATTGGCCAGGTGTGGTGGCTCACACCTGTAATCCCAGCATTTTGGGAGGCCGAGGTGGGAGGATCACCTGAGGTCAGGAGTTCAAGTCCAGCCTGACCAACATGGAGAAACCTCATCTCTACTAAAAATACAAAATTAGCGAGGTGTGGTGACACATGCCTGTAATCCCAGCTACTTGGGAGGATAAGGCAGGAGAATTGCTTGAACCCGGGAGGCAGAGGTTGTGGTGAGCCGATATCACGCTATTTACTCCAGCCTGGGCAATAAGAGTGAAACACTGTCTCAAAATAAATAAATAAATAAATAAAATTTATTGAATGCGTATCATGCAGCAAGACCATCACTAATTGCTCTATAACTCATTTAATTCTCACAAAAACCCTTTGAGTTGCTCTTATGATCCCTATTTTATAAATGGTTAATTGAGGTTTTAAGTGATTAAATAACTTACTCAAAGTGTCACAGTGTTTGACAGGCTAAGCCAAACAGTCTAACTCCTGAATTCACAAAGTAACCCCTATGCAATACTAACTCCTTGTAAAGCATAGGTATGCAAATGTACTCAGAGAGCTAAGCAAAACCTAGATTTGAGCCTCGTTCTAGAACTGATACAGTCTATGGATAGAAATGTAAGGTGAAACATGCATTTCACTAGCCCCTTAGGTGCTGCAGTTCAAGGAATACCAAGAGAAAATAACAGGTTTAGGAGGGTTCTAAACTCTGATGAGGAGAGGAGAAGTTCAGTCTTAAAATAAAAAGATAACGAGATTAAAAAAAAAAAAGACATATTCTCTACAATAAGGGAAACAGAAGTACTTAGGAACAAACCAGGTATGGTCCAGGGTGCCAATTCAGAGATGTGCCTTCTCCATGCAGTATTTCTAATGAATGTGATTGACAGTTAGTGCGAACTGATGCTTCCAGATAAAATATCGATCCATTGGAACATTCAATTGATAGGATGAAGAGGGCTGTAATTTGAGGCTGGCCCTTGCATCAAATGTGAAACAATTTTTCCATTTTTTAAATTAAAAAAAAAAACCTAAAGAATACTCGCTCAAAAAGTAATGTAAAGACAAATCATCAGCTAAAGATTCCTTTTGCTGTTTTGAGGGGTAGAGAACAAAACATTATAGACAAAATCAAAATCTCCTGTGCTCTCTGCCCTTAATTCCCAGAGACAACCACTAGTATAAGGAATGTAAATAACTGGTACATTTTTTAATACTTTTCTACCAACATTTATATACAGGAACATTATACAAACTTATGTGTTTTGTAAAATTCACAAATAATGTCATATTATATGTAAAATGCACTTTACTTGTTTTATTCTACTTTATATTTTGAAAATCCAGATTGACTATTATTCATCTATTCTAGAATATTTATCTTAACTGCCAGATATGGGATCCCATTAATGAATATACTACTATTTATTATTTTGTTTGCGGATAGATATTTGTGTCATTTCCAAGTTTTCTCTATTACAGATCATGCTAGACTGTAGCGGTCTGCACATCTACTTCCACAAATGTATGGGAATTTCTTTGAGCAATATACTTAGAAATGGTAATACTAGGTCATGAGGTGTGTACATTTTCCACTTCAGTACATTTTGTCATATTGTTTTATTAAACAGCTGCAGCAATGTATAGAACTTCTAATAGTTATTGAGTTCTTGTTTTCCAATGGCTTCTTCAACATGTAGTTTTGTAATTTTCATTGTTTTGCCAATATAATATAAAAATATATGTTTTATTATTTTTAACCTCTAGAATTGTTGGTGATGTTATAGATATTTTACCAGGATTGTAGCCATTCAGGTTAAACTTCTTTGCCCATCTTTTTAAATCAGCATATTACATTGCTTTACTTATTTGTGAAATTCTTCATACTAATTTATTGTTATTTATACACATAACTAATATATTCTTCCAATCAGTTGCTTGGCCACTTTCTGGATTTTCTCTTAATTATACAGTAATTTCCAATAAAAATGTTGTCTATTTTATGAAATTTTCCATTTTTGATATTTTTTCTATGTCTCATTTAAGAAATGTTTGTTTAATCAAAATTACGACTATCTCCCCTAATATACTGAGCAACTTAGCAGTCATTCACCATTATTATTAAATTTGTACTTTAATGTAGTGATTCATGAGAGGCACATAATTCTGAAAGTTTCATATAGGGAAAAAAATATTTTAAGCCATCCCAATAAAAGCCACCACATCAATCTATATAACAGGCTTGCCAGAGAAGTGAGTTTCATTCTAGCCTTGGAATTCATAAAGGCAACTAAATGGGCTCTAAGATGACCCGTACATACCAGCACAAATCCTATGTTCTCCGTAAAGCTTTTTCCAACTCTAGAATCCAATGCCATCACGCCCTATTTAGTCTCCCATCACTGTCAAAAGCTGAGCATTACATTCCCATATTATTACTTCATGTGAGTAAATTATTTTTTTCTCTCTTCACTGGAGTGGAGTTGGGATAGCAACAAAATTGTAATAAAATGGTGAACTGATAGCAAATAATGGTTCCAGCACCAATGCTTCCACTGACAAGCTATTTAACCTTGGGCAAGTCAATTAACCTCTTTGAAAAAGTCATAGTTTTACCTTGCCCTGACTGACTAACAAGCTTGCAGTAGGAACACAATAAATCTTTTAAAAGTCTAGGCCAAAAGTAAGGTAATAATATTAATAATTTATTTTAGTAATCAGTATCTTTTATTTATCATTCATTCCCATACCACGAATGATTCTAACTACCACCTATATGTGCATGTACTTATATAAAAGTAGGCTTTCTCAATTGTTCTGCGATGAATAAAAATGATAGAACATATTACAATCTGCTTACTATTCTGACCATTAACATTTATTTCTCCATAGTGTTCTTTGGCTTTCTGACTTCCTACCTCATTTTTTTCGACTGAATACCATCAACATTTCTTTCATTTTATTCTTTTTAGTAGCCCACACACATACCAACTGAAAATGGATATATTTGACTTTCTCTTTTTAAATTACTCCCAGCAACAAAATAGTAAATACTCATTTTCTCTGGCCAACTGTGAATTTTCAATGCATATAATTGGAAAAAGTTCTATTTGCCTAGAACTTTATTCTTTATTTCCTTACATAGAATAATAAAGGACATAAAAAAAGGAAGTTCAGGCAGAACGAAATGACCTAGCAAAAGAAATTATTTGGTTTCTTTCACTTAGAATTATTAGATATATCCAAATAGCTTCCTCAAATGGTATAGTATAATCTTAACTGAAAAAAACAGAATAAACCACATGACCATCTTATGTCGTAAACCCCATAACTCTGATTATAAAAAGGGTTTATTTTTAATTCCATTCCTATCAAGTTCACTTATCAACATGCATCTTTCTCTGAACAAAGAGAAATTTTCATTGTAGAGAACTTGTGGAAGAACCATTTCCTCTCCATCTGCAGAAGCTGAAATATTCTATGTACCACATAATTTCATGGAATTCTATTTGCAGAGACCATGGAAATACAGAACAAAAACCAAAGATATCTAATAATTCCTCAGGAGCCAATAGAGTTTCTCAGTGAGTTTAACAATTGACATGTCCTACATTGCTTTCAGAATTCATTACAGACTTAACAAGATAATTTACTAGAAAGACAAGAAAAGCATCTCTTTGGTCTTTCCTTGTCAATAGAATCACATCAACTACTATGACAACCGCCAAATGAGAGGGTTTGCCAAATGAGGAAGTATTGAGGTTGGATATCTTTTGAGCCATTGGAAAAGAAATGCATAGGAATACTAGAACTGGGGGCGGGCGGGGCAGGCATCAGCAAGATTAGATGTTAGAATAAAACACAATGAAAATGTTAAATTCTAATAGAAATGTTTGGATCTAGAATCTCATTTTTACTCTAATATTTAACCAAGTATGAGGAAAAAAATTACTTCACATACAAAAACTTAGAAAAATTACTACTCCAAAACCCTGTATAAAATAATTTCATGACAATAGTTTGCAGCAAAATGAAAAAGGACTACAAGGAGGAGGAAGAAATAGAATAGGTTTTAAGAGTAAAATAAAGAAGACACTCTCAGGAATAAAAGAAAGTAATCTTAGGATGTGAGTCACACACCATGCCAGTAAATAATAATTTAGAATAGAAAGTCGTAGATTATCTAGAATAACATTAAGAAGTCAGATAACCCCGTAAATTTATATTAACCATATTCTACATTAGTAGAAACAGGTCAATGACAAAGGAATATGTGTCCATCACTTTAAGTCATTCACATAATTCTGCAATTAATATTTACATGATCATAATATTATAAATATTAATTCTTGGCTTCAATTTTAGACCCAAACTATGGGCAAAACTTGGAAGCCTAAAGTATGTGTGTATGTATGTTTTATAATTATAGATTATTATTGTTATTTTAAGACAGGGTCTCACTCTGTCACCCAGGCTGGAGTGCAATGACATGATTATAGCTCACTGTAACCTCGATCTCCCAAGCTCACGCAACACTCCCACCTCAGCCTCATAAGTAGCTAGGGCTACAGGTAGGCATCACCATGTCTAGCTGTTTTTTTAAATTTTTTTGTAGAGATAGAATCTTGCTTTGTTGTCCATTGGTCTCAAACTCCTGGCCTCAAGTGATCCTCCTGCTTTGGCCTCCCAAAGCCCTGGGTTTTCTAACTGTAGATTATTTAAAATAATTATATGGTGGATTAATTTGGAAAGGTATTGAAAGGAGAGGAGGTGAGGAAAATGGAGGGGCATATGTTTTCTCATCATAAAGTAGGCAGATAATAACATCTTAAGTAATCAAAATGATTATTGCATTAGAATATTATGTTACTTCATAATGACTACCAGTAGAAGTGAAAATTTAAAAATGGATCTGGCAGGCCTGGGAAGTAATTATAGAGAAATGTTTAAGTGTGTATCAAATGTGTAATATTCTATGTCAGGGAGTCTATTTGAAATTGACAGATCAAGAAATATATGTACAAGTGGATTATGTAGAATTATGGAGGTTGCTGACCCCACCAGAGGTATTAAAAACAAATGATAATAGAGGCAAGAGGATTTGCTTTCTCTTGTATCAGTTAGCACTGTTTTAGTTTTCATCATTCTATTAATTATTTAATTTTATAGTAAAAATATGGACACAGAGAAAATAGATGTATGTAATTTTTTATGTTTTGAGAAACTCAGATCTACTCAAAAGTGTTTGTATTTAGTGCTATCCAACAGAATTTCTGAAATATTCTGTCTCTGCATTGTTCAATGTAATCACCACTAGCCACATGTGACTTTTGAGCATTTGGAATTTGGCTAGTACATCTGAGAAACAGAATTTTTAATTTGCTGATTGTAATTAATTTCAATGAATATACCAACACGTGTCTCATGACTACCACATTGGTCACTGCAGCTCTACATAAATAGTTTCTAATCTTTTACTATCAAAAATGCTTTGTTACTTTTTTTTCTCCCAGGAATCCTTATGCTTAAAGGATTTTGCCAACCACATTTCAGTAACAGAGTATTTGTTTACTGATCTTAATCAAAGACATACAAATAGGGCTTTCATGAGCCACAAGCAGATCACCTTACTAAGCCTAACCAAAATCAAAGCAACTTGATGCTTTGGAGAAGCGGGGCGCATTTAGAATTTGGGTACAATTTTTATTAGTCTTTTTGAAATAGCAAAGTGATTCAAAGACCCTCTGCTTGTGTTGTGAGAATCCCAAAGAATCTGGAAATTTCTGTTGGATTTCAAGATTCTTCTAAAATCCTGTCACTCTGTTTCCTTTCAAGTCCCTCCTGAAATTGTGAAGGATATTGAATCAGTAATAAACCTTCACAACCTCTTTCCAGCTGTAAATTCTCTGCTTCTCCTTGGAGGGCTCAGTTGTTCTTTGGCATTCCAGAAATCAATGAAGTCTGCTAAGGTATTGGGAGTTTATCCTTCTTGAGGCATGCTGGTCATTAGCAGGTCCTAGAAGCCACACCCAGCAAGTGGTTAAGACACTGGAGGCATCATTGTTACCCCTTGCCCTAGACCCATCCCAAAGCACCATTTCCAATGTTCAGTTCCACTAGGAAGGGAAAAACTATTATGCTTTCTTTTTTTGTTGCTGTCACTGACAGAAAAAAGGCATTCTCTGGAGCGGAAGTTCTGGCACTGTTCCATTTACATTCTGCTCTATAGAGGCATCAAGAGGTCAGTCAGCGAAACTAATAATCAGTGCAGAGCAAATAAGAGTAACACACTTGCACAGCTTTTCAGTCTCCTGGGGAAGCTGAATTCAGCAGGCCAAAGATTCAAAGGCTGAATTTTAAGCTGACGACATCATTTTACGGTTAATAATATTAATGATCACCACATAATGCAAAAGGGCATTGTCCACTCTTTCGCTGTTACACGCAGGAGTTGAAGAGTTGCTCTCTTTTGAAGCAAAGTCTATGGGACGAGCACTTTTAAGAACAGGTTTACGTTAGAGGAGAATGGGCCACTTGACAATCACCTACACCTCCTTAGTAGTGACAGCAGCTTGTGGAAAGAGCATGCACGCACTTACTTGTGAATGAATTATTTAAAATAATTGATTTTGACTCAGAAAAAGGGGATTTTTGCTGTGATTTGACATGTTAAACAATGCTTTTGTTGTCAAGTCAGAAGAGAAGAAAAAAATAGACACTATTCTCAACTCTGATTATGATGCACTACATCCTTGCCTGTTACCACTTTGGAATAGTTGCAATCTTATCAGCTTATTTTCTCGAGTCTGATACAGCAAAGTCCTAATGCATTGCTATGAAGGAAGAAAATAGCAAAAAATAATTGACACTTAGAAACCTTTATTTAGCACCTAAATTCTAAGTCATATGAGAGGTGGAGAAGGAGGGGTTATTACCTTGATTCTTACCTCCCTATTACACAAGAAGATATTTGGGAATTGTGCCCTCTAATTTTTACATTACTAGCACTTACTTTGGTTAGCAGCATCAAGTAAATTCTTATAAATTCATTTGAATATTTACTGAAAGAATGAACTAATTAATAACCATGGTCCTTATCCTTAAAAAGCTTCAAAACATGCTGAAAAATGTAATTTTATTATTCTATTTTATTCCAAACTAATACTAAGATACTACCTTCCTCTTTCATGACTGGTGTCACTGCTGTCTCCATTTAGCTCCACATTCTATAGATTCTGTCCCTGAATAGCATTTTCTACTCTCCTTTCATTTCTATTCTCATTGCCACTAATTTCATACAGGTTCTTGCTATCTCACGGGGATCATTTTCAGAATTTTTGACTGGGAGCAGTGGCTGATGCCTGTGATTCCAACACTTTGGAGGCCAAGGCATGGGGCTAACTTTGTTTCTGAGAGCTACACATAATTCATGAGCCCAGGAGTTTAACACCAGCCTAGGCAACAAAGTGAGAGACCTTGTCTCTACAAAAAATAAATAATAATTAGCCAGGGCATCCAGCTCCTTGGGAGGCTGAGGTGGGAGGATCACTTGGGCTCAAGAGGTCAAGGATGCAGTGACCCATATTTGTGCCACTACACTCCAGCTTGGGTGAGAGAGCAAGACCCCATTTATTATATGAAAAAAAAAATTCGGACTGCTTTCTATCACCAAACTTTCATTCATCTGTCTCTCAACCCAACCTGTGCACTGTGACCAGATTATTGTTTCTGGTCACTGATCAAGACAGAGCTGACAATGCATCTCAGTGATGCGAACAATAATGCAGTTCATTCTTAGAGCAAAATGAGGAAATCTTGTCACCATTTTAATACTCTTACTTATTTTTAAAATACTGAGTATAAAAGAGAAAGTGCAAAACTAAATCATTAAATATGAAAATATTACATAATTACAAAAAGCATAAGAATTTCTTCAAAGAATGATATGATATCACTTCGAGGTGATATAAACATATTTGTATGATCATTTGAGGTTATTAAATTTTCTGACCCTAAATTCATTGTAAGATTATTGAATTTTCTGACCCCAAATTCATTGTAAGATTACCTCATGCTTATTTGGTTCATTTATTGTGCCTGGTCAATAGTAGATGTTTACTCTATATGAGATTATTTATTATTTTATAGAAAAGAATGACAATTCAAAAGATAAAGTTAGCAGGAAAAACACTTTATTGTGGCCATTGTTTAATTTAGAATACTAGAGGTTTCATAGACCTAAGATCAATGAAGGCATTTTTCCTCCCAAGTTAAAGACTATGTACAATATTTTAAAAGCATCTGTTGGTAGTCACAGGACTAACTTTGTTTTGTGATAACTACAGTTAATTCACTCTGCTTGTTAACATGACTAGAGCCAAATCAACAATCAATATTTGTCGGAAATGTTAAGGGAGTCTGCAAAAGTCAGAAGGAGCTGATTTTTATTTACTATTTCCTCATAGAACATAAATAATTCCCTATTTGACTCCCAAGCCCATGAGGTTAAAAAAAAAAATGGAAGTAGCAGCATATTTGAGTGGAGGAGAGTTGGGGAGTGAAGAATATTGAGCTCAGTTTCCTGCTTGCTAAATAGCTATTAAAATAGATGATTTTTCCATGGAACTGTTGTCATAAATAAATCTGCATATGAACCAGCATGTTGAATCAGCTTTAAAATATTGAGAAGCAAACCAAGTTTCAATTTCTGTCTAATCAGTATGGCTATGTTAGTATTTTTTAAATTAATGTTTTTTATTATTTTATTCTTATATGATTTAAATAATAAAATAATATAAAATGGTACAGGATAAAAATTTTGACTCTCATCCTTGGAGCCATCTGCTCATTACTCATCTCCATCACAGGTAATCACTTTCCTTAATCTTAAAAGAATTCTTCCAGAGTTTCTTTATCCAAATGCCTAAAAACAAAAACACATATTTTAATTTTTCCCCTTTCTTACAAAATGGAAGTATTGTTAGTTAAACTAAGTTTGGCCTGCAGCTGCCCCCCTACGTAGTAAACTGCAACTTTATTTAGTATGTAAACAAACTGCAACCTAACTTAAGAGTATATTCTTGTATCAAGTAGCTGAGTCTCCTTGGACAATTATAGAAGCTGAGTTATCATCCAATTACAGGCTGCAAACTGTTCAAACATATCCAAATAAGGCAAATGCTGAGCTTTAACTAATCAGGCTACTTATGTACATCACTCCCTTTTTCTATCTATTAATGCTGCCTGCCCACATTGCTGCATGGAGCTCTCTGAATCTTTACTAGTTCAGGGTGCTGCCCAATTCATAAATCATTTCTTTTCTCAAATAAACTCTGCTAAACTTAATTTGTCTAAAGTTATTCTTTTAACAATGCACCATTCTGCATTTTTTTCATTTAACAATTTTTTTTAGAAATCTTTTCACATCAGTACATAAATAGCTTCTTCAATCTTTTTTCCAGCAACAAAGTAGTCCATTGCATATGCATGTATACAAATTATTTAACCAATCCTTATCAGTGAACATTTGGGACATTTTAAACATTTTCATATTGCAAAGATGATAAATAATCTGAAATATGCCTTGTTTTGTACATATGCAGGAAGCAATATAGGAAAATTTCAAAGCATCTACATGGGAAATATGAAGTGTTGACAAAGGATAAAAATTGAGATGGCTCTCAAGTTTGTATACAGCAACTATCACTGGCAGGAGAGAGTGGGAATTGTCTCATCAGCCAAGATCATTATACCTAAACAACATGTTCAAGCATAAAGGCAATAGGCAGAAAACCTCAAATGTATATAACTCAAACATAGGTAACCTTGAACCCTTCCTGAAATGATCATTTCAAAACTAAATGCAATCATCAATTCAGGAACAGATTTTTAAAAATGCTTTAGAAATTATAGTGGTGAGATTTTAATATTTTAAAATATGAAACTAGTAGAAATAATAAATGTTATATGATTTATGTTTAACACAACAAAATATAAATACTGATTATGTGAAAATAATTATAAAACTAACAAAATTAGAATATAGAAGAAAGTGGAGAGGTACCTTTTGTATTCTAATGTTTGCCTTTGCATAGCAAGAACTCAGTCGGAATTATCTACAATTAATGTGTAAAATTTTTTAAAAAGATTCTCATTTTAATGTTTCACTCACAGTTTCCTTTCATAGAATTGTCTTTTTAGAAAATAAATTCGTGTGGTAAATACTTATCTAAAATTTAGTAACTCTTAATTTGGGAAAAGGGAGATGCAAAAAAAAAAAATTAGTAACCCACTCTCCCTTGGAGTTTTTCAATAATTAAAATAAGAAAAATTTAATGTAATGATTTTATTACACATTAGCTGTAAATACTAAATTGCTATATAATAAAATCAAATAATAATCTAGTATAACAAAAATAGAAATTTATAGATCTACCTATATTTCTATTTGTATTATGCACAAAAATACAAAATGACAATATCTGGCATTGAGGTCTCACAAATAATGGTTACTTATGAGTAGTGGCATGCCATTGTTTTGTTGTTATTGTTTCGTTAGTATATTTTTTATAAATTATATGTCATTCTTGAGTTATTTAAATTCTTAATAAAAGGCAAGTATTCTACAAAAAGTACAGTGTTAAAATAAAAATAATTATAATAACTTTTTGTTTTTTTTTGAGACAGAGTCTCACTCTGCTGCCCAGACTGGAGTGCAGTGGTGTGATCTTGGCTCACTGCAACCTCCACTCCCAGGTTCAAGCAATTCTCCTGCCTCAGCCTCCTGAGTAGCTCGGACTACAGGCGTGCCACCACTCCTGGCTAATTTTTTGTATTTTAGTAGAGACAGGGTTTCACCACATTGCCCAGGCTGGTCTCAAACTCCTAAGCTCAGGTAATCCAACCACCTCGGTCTCCCAAAGTGCTAGCATTACAGGCATCAGCCACTGAGCCTGGCCCAATAAATGTTTTAAATAACATAAGGTAAATATATTCACTGTAGCTTTTTCAATTATTATCATATTAAGAACAAATGAATAGCCCAATAATTAGGAGATGATTACATAAATAAAGCATCATCAAGCAAATTGAATGCTATGCAAAACTTAAATGATAATTTGGAAGCCCATGGGCCAGCAAGGACCAATATTCATTATATGATATTAAATGAAAAAAGTCAGAAAAAAATGTTCATTATTTATGCAATGATTTAAAATGATGTAAAATATTGATATTTCTGCAACAGGCAGAAAATCAATTGAGTAATAGATAGAAATAGAATACAATGAATTAAATTAGTTTGAACTTGGGCGGTGGTAATATGGATGACTATTTTCTTCTTTCTAATGTTTTGGTAATGTTGCAGGTAGGTATGTCGTTTTTTTAACAGTATAAGAGAGTTTATATTAGAATGCAAATACCTGAACTAACCCATAATCATGTATGGCTTTCATGGAATTAATGTTGTGAATTTATATATCTACTTCTGATAGAACAGTTCTGATATAAATAAATCCAAAAAGCATCTCTGAAATCATTAGAGTAGGTCAAGTATTGGCTCAAAGGAATCTACTCAGCCAATATGCTCTTTTCACTTTTTTATTTAACTTATAAACGTATCATCCTAGAGAGTGATAAGACCACATCAAAAATCATGGCCAAGCATGGTGGCTAATGCCTGCACTTTGGGAGGCCGAGGCAGGTGGATGACGAGGTCAGGAGTTTAATACCAGCCTAACCAATATGGTGAAACCCCGTTTCTAGTAAGAATACAAAAATTAGCCAGGCTTGGTAGCACACACCTGTAGTCCCAGCTACTAGGGAGGCTGAGGCAGGAGAATCGCTTGAACCTGGGAGGCAGAGGTTGCAGTGAGCTGAGAGTGACCACTGCACTCCAGCCTGGGTGACAGAGTAAGACTCTGTCTCAAAAAAAAAAAAAATCGTTACCCAGTTTTCACTAAACTTAAGATAATGTGAACAACATTGGAAATAGTGAGAACACAAGCTTTTGATTTGGAATAGTTTCTAATTTTTTATTTTTATTTATAATATCTTGAGAATTGAGTATGTATTCTATTCAAATGGATTTTTCATTCAAGATTTTGCAAAAGTACAGGTAATTTTAAATGACTTTTTTTTTTTGCAGATTGTAATCAGTAGGAAGGAGAGGTAGAAATCTAAGAATTTCCATCCACTGCACAATGCTTGCACAAAAACACATAACTGCATAGCAGGTTATTATCTACTCAGCCTTGAATCGTGAATTCTGTTTTGTTAAAGTTGAATAAAAACTATTATTTTCCATAGAACAGTGAAGCTGTTAGCTACATACTATACTTGATTTTTTTTTTTGTTTAATCTCTTCTGTGTGGGCTCTCTTTCACCAGCAAAAACAATGCATCCAATGCTGCCATGTGAACAATGGAAGCTATTGACTTTGCTCTTCTACTGCGGGTTACTATATACTAAAGGGTTTGCTGAGACATTTACTCTATCCTCTGAATACCCCACAAGGAAATGTGTTGAAATATGCCATAATTTTTCAAGCTTTCTAGGTGGGCAGCTTGATAACTATGCAGACTATAAGCTTAAACTTGAAAGGTAAGAGAATAAAAGTGGGACTGAAAGTGACTGCTTTGCAGCCATTGTATTCACCTTTAGCGGGAAGCAAACAAGGAAACTAAGCCACTGGCTAAAAGTTTTATCAACACTAGCACATCCATGTTGGTGTCCCTTATAGGCCTTGTTATTGCACAATCCTGGCAGAAGTGAGAAATGCAACCGCATTAGATGTTTTTCTTTAGTGGATTGCCTCCATGCTATATTCCTATAGAATTTAGCAAATCAAAAATAGCATTTTTCAACAAACCCTTTGTATATCACTTTCCTGCTTCACAAAGATAGCATTGATAAATCGCACCAGTACAGGAGAAAGGGGGGGAGAAGAGGGAATGGGTGGAAACTCTTACAGTTCATATTTAAAAGAAAACTTCTTAGTGTACGTCCTATTTAGGTCATTGTTTTATTTTTTAAAAAATTAACAAGCATGGGGTGGTAGATACCAATTTTTTATCTCATGTAATCTAATTACTGTCTTTCCACAGAAGAAAGAACAGAACTCCTGTAAACAATTTACCCAGGATGAAGCACAGCCATGCAGCAAGAAGGAATCTAAGACTATTTTATATAATAGTGAAAGGAGGTTTGTAGTGAGGTAATAAGTTCATGCCTGTTTCCCAAAAATGTTATTAAAACAGGAAACCCTGTATCATGGTTAACCTACTACTAAGAAGTATTCTGAGCAATAAGAGAGGCTCCTGAATAATGCAGAGTAACTCTTTAGTTAATTTTAGAAGTGAAAAAGAATACTTAGTAAACTGGCCTTGAGTATCCAAATACTCAAGGTACATTTAAAACAGTAGTTTTGCCTTAGAACAGAAAATACCCTTAGACCAGAACCAAAGTAACAGAAAACTCAATTAATCAGGATTTCACACACATACACACACAGAATTTCACTTTTACCAGAAACAAATACATAAAGACATATCTGGCTTAAATAAATCAGAGAAACCAACAAAAATATTACCATAACTTTATGAGTAAGATAGGCAGCAAAGTGTAGTACCACAGTTGAAATCATTTCACTCAGAGCTTGAAGACATTGTTTCAGCCCGCAGCTCTGTCATTAATACATGGGGTGGTTTTGGGTAAATAACTAATTTTAGAACCAGACAACTTTCATCTTTAAAAAATGTGGGAGATCATAAAATCTTCTTGCCACCCAAACAGCATGCTTCTCTAGCCTGGAGCCGAGTCACACTGAGCATGACCCCTACCCAGCATATGTAAAGTAGGCAATTTGTTCTACTTCGCCAGGATAATGTGCTTAAAAATTTATTTCTTTCAAACTGTGATCCTTAAATTACCAGATTGGCTGCACCTGGGAGCTTGCTAAAAATGCAGAATCCTAGGCTCTGTCCCAGAACTACTGAATCAGCATCTAAAACTTGAACAAGATCAGCAGGTGACTTCTGTGCACTGAACAGTTTGAGAAGTGGTGATACATTTGATTGGAGGTCTTACTACATTCCACCCATCACATTAATTTACCTGCATGGCCCAAATAGGCATTCCATTTTTGATATCCTACATCTTTTATTGTGTAAATGTTAAAAGTAGGCTTTGAAATCAATCAGACCTGGGGTAGGAACCTAGCTCTGACATTAAGGCACTGTGTCATTGGCAATTTACATAGCCTGACTGAACTTTTTGTCTAGAAAATGGAATAAAAACCACCTGCCATGGCTAATGTGGGAAATACACTAAATTATTCCTTTAGAAAATGTACATAGAGCCTGGCATATAGGATGTGTTCAGTAAGTAGTAGATGACCATCATCACTATCACCATCATCTTCATCCTCATTATTATGATTGTCATACAATGATAGCCAGAGACAACCTCATCAAATGTGTAACAATTTCCCCATCATTAAATAAATGGTATTTATTTTACTCCTCCAAAGTATTCCTGGTACAGTCTAGAGGAAAAAGTTGTAATATCATTTGGATTCATACCGACAAACCATTCGACTAATGTATTTTTACTCATCTCTCTTGGACACGACGGAGATTTGTAAGTGAGGTGAATACATGACAGCATCTTCTAAAAGAACCCAATTGTTGAAGGATCTATTTAAGAACCAATCAAATGGCTCTTTGTCAAGGGCACGGCAGCAAGTTTGGAAAAAGTGACATCTCAACCAGATTCATCCGAAAAATGGCTTTTGGTCATAAAGGCAAAACTCCAAATTCAGAGAAACCCCCAATAAATTAGTCACTGAAGAAAAATTCCTCTATGAGGAATGATTTCAGCTAGTAATTCTGGAAAGGAAAATGACAATAAGGTTCTTGATACACAGTATGATATCATTAGCTACAGTTAGCTGATATACTGTTGATTACTTCAGTGAAATCATATACAATATCTTTGCCTCCTAAAAGATGTAAATGAAAAACAGGCATGCATTTTCAAAGAATTCATTCAACTCTACCTATTGAGGCTGCTTTAGAGAAATTAGTTTGCTCATGAGAATTCAAAGGTAAATGAGCCATATAAAGCAGGCATCTCTGTTTCAGATTTTAGAACGTGATGGAGATCACAGGATGTCATTCCAGACACTAATGCCCATGAATGTCCATATTAATTAAATGTCATTTTAAAATTAATCATGATCAGTGCCCTAGCTCATCCTTCTCATGTGACACACCATTGGCTTGTTTCACAGAAGACCCTGTGTTACATCTGCTATTGCCATTTGCAATCCTAACCAATTGTGAACCAGCTATGAGAAGCTCATAAATACTTCACAATCAGACTCTGCAAACACAGGAGGCTCCAGGCTGGGTGGGAGTAAGTCTTAAAGATCAACAAATCAATCAATTCAATGCTCTGAAGTTGCCCAAACCCTTCCTATTAAGCCTCAGGCAAACAGCAGCTCAGGAAAGAAAGAAAACTAAAGGGAGGGATCAGAGACAATACATATCAACCAAGAGTGAAGAGGCTGAGGCAGCTAAAATGCCTGCCCCTGCTGCAGACAGTCCAGGTCTGAAACCCCTAACTAACAATGGGAAACTCTGGATTCTCTTTGATGGCAAATGTTTCTGGTTCTTACTATGCTTTGTGCCTTCTGAATGCCTGCTGTTGCACACTAGAGGAAAATCCTTTCTCAAATCCACAAATATATCAGTCCAAAATCTAGAAAAGTTTCCTCATCCTTTCTGTATTTTATCTTGAGTATAAATTCCTCAGGCCATTTTTTCCTCCTTAATTCATGTTACCTTAGAATCTGAGTCCATTGAACATAAAACACTCTTTTCTACATTCACCCTACTACATGAAGACCATTAATGAAAAAGTTATTATGCCAATTCCTCTTTCTTTAAGTAAGAGCCTCACACACCTGAACAATCATAATGGCCCTTTATTTCATATGGTGCAGACATTGCAAATATAACTTAATAGAAACCATTTAAGTTCAAGGGTACAGTGCTTCAGTTATGAAAGGAGACCACCCTTATAGAGGTCCTTTTTACACTCCAATGGCTTCTTTGTAAAAATTATATAATAGGATAAAAGTTGGATTGAAAGGGAGGATCAGTGTTGGGGGAGGAGTGGGAGGAAGTACAGCAGGACTTTTCAGTTTATAACAATCAAAATACTACCAAATACAAAATTATCTCATTTTCTTCCAGATCCTGTGAATAGCTTTTCTATAGAAAGCTCCCAATGGTCTGCAGATTCTAGTCCCTTATAGGTGGCAAGGTTTAGAAAAGAATGCACAAAATAATGGAATTCATATGCCAAGCAGCTGTTGTCACAGCAGTTTTGCAAACTGACTCCTCCCCATCTCCTTCTTCATTCTCTCCAGTATGCCTTCTCAGTTCTTTCTTGCAGTGCCTTGCTTCCCTCCCTACAAAGCCCAGACACAACACAGCTCCTTGAGTCTGCCCCGTTCACCCGCATCAAGCCCCCTCTCTGAAATAAGTCTTTGAAATATTTTGAGGTGAGGAAAAAGCTGGAAGGGTAACTTAAAGAGCATATCTTAAGACAATTTCCTTTCTCTAAATATAATTGTTATGACTACACTCTGTTTCTCATACTTTTATTGCTCTAAAATGGAATGAAACACAAGCTTTAAACAGCACAGTCATTATAAGACCTTTTGCCAGCCGCACTACAGTTTCCATTTTCATCAGCTTGGCAATCTTTAGTTTTTTTACATTGATTTATTTCACTTACATTTTCTTAGGTATTTTTTTTCTCTTCTCTCTTTCCCTCCACTTTTCCTCCACCTCCTGTCCCCCACCTTTCTCCTCCTCCTTGTCTTCTTGCCAATTCTAATACAGTTCTTCATCTTTGACAGTTTGCACAGTGCTTGCTATACCACTTGTTTTCTGAATTATGTCCTGATGTTAAATTTGGCTGCAAAAGAGGTGTGTCCACATTCTTTTACTCCCTTGCTCCAAATTAGATTTTTTACTAATTGAAAGAGTAGGGAAAAATAATCACCTCTTTCCATATTTATAATGTATTTTATCCATTCTCTAGTTAGAGAATTATACAGTCAGTTCTTTTTATTTGCAGTAGTTGTGATCTGTAAAGTCACCTCACTGAATCGGCAAGTTCTAAAACACTGCTTCTAGCAGAAATACATGGTTAGGTTCCTGCAAGCCTCTGATCGTAACGTTTTTTGTCATCTGATCAATGCATAACCTTGTTTTATGTGTGTTTCTGTTTATAGGCACCTCATTTAATATATATTGTTGATTCATTAGCATTGAACTCATGGTCAACAGCAATATAATTCATGCCTCAATGAAGCTCATCTACCACATGTATTTTCCCCCTAAGGCATATCTTGAGCTTTCTTGAGCTCAGAAACACTAGGCAGCACTTCAGCACTATGTGTGAAGACCATTTTAAATAGTGAAATCACCAACCAAGAAACGTCAAAAAATGTGTCATTACATAGATCATTAAAAAGGACACTTGTTTACACCATGAAAGCTAAAACAAAGAGGTAGTGTCACCTTGTTTGACCCTAACTTGAGAATATATGAGTCAGGCAACTCAAATTTTTTGCCACCCTGCTCATGTCCACAAATAATGGCAAAAGCAGTGGGAGTATTGATTCTGGGGTTACAAATACATTTTAGCAAGTGAGTGAATTCTCAAATACAGAATGCAGGAATAATGAGAATCAACTGTAGTTACTTCTGGACAACAGAGTATATATATACCTTAGACAGACATACTGCTATTTCTGTGTCACTGGAAATTGTGATTCGTTGGATTATGAATCAGCATTGACTTGGGATAAATAATTGAATTACTACTTGAGTTTCATTTTCTCAGTTAAAGGCTCTTCATGAAAAAGTAAAAGATATTTTAGCCTATTTTTGCAAAATGGTAGCTGCTATTTTGTATTGTAAAGAGCTATTTGTTGTTGCTACTACAACTGTCACTGTTGCTTTTCTCCCAAAGGAAGAAGGAGAAGCAAAGAGTTTGTTTCAAAATGTGGGCTACTGAAAGCAGAATTAGGAGTCTTGAGACCAAAAGTACCAAGAGTTTTGGGTCCAGTGAGCCCCTGAGGCATGTGGAACACAATACCTTAGGAATATTTCTTACATGGTAGGAGAGCAAATGAGTGAATTCAAACTGGTGTGAAGAAAGAGTATTCAGGGAGCATGAATAAGTCCAGATTGAATTCACTGAATTAAAGAAGGATAAGAAATCAAATATAGCAAATAAAATCATTATAGTGGGGCCAAGGAATAGAAAATTTTGAGCAAGGCAAAGACTGTAAACCAGAAGTTTCTGCAGAAATTTCAGGGAGGCCCATATGCTGAGCATGATGTTAAGGAATATTTTGCCTTGTAGGCCTGTATTAGTCCATTCTCACATTGCTATAAAGAAATATCTGGAACTGGGTAATTCATTTAAAATAAAAAAGAGATTTAATTGGCTCATGGTTCTGTAAGTTGTACATAGCAGCATCTGCTTTTGGGGAAGCCTCAGGAAACTTCCAATCATAGCAGGAGGTAAAGAGAGAGCAGGCACATAACATGGCGAAAGCAGGAGCAAGAGAGTGAGGGGAGGAGCTACATACTTTTAAATGATCAGATCTCATGAGAAAACACTCAATATCACAAGGACAGTGCCAGTGAGAATGCTGTTAAATCACTCATGAGAAAACTGCCCTCATGATCCAATTACCTCCCATCAGGCCCCACCTATGCCACTGGGGCTTACAATTCAATACGAGATTTGGGCACAAATACATATTTAAACTATGTCGTTCTACCCTTGCCCTTCCCAAATCTCATGTCCCTCTCACATTTCAAAATACAATCATGCCTTCCCAATAATCCCCAAACTCTTAACTCATTCCAGCATTAACTCAAAAGTCCAAAGTCCAAAATTTCTTAAGAGACAAGTCTAGGAGTCCCTTCTGCCTATTAGCCTGTAAAATCAAAAGCAAGTTAGTTATTTCCAAGATAAAATGGGGCTGTTACTGGGAAGTGCAGTAATCCTCAGTTCTTTGTCTTACCTGGAGAAAGCATTCTGCCAAGTGACTGATTTAGCTAAAAAGAGAGTTTATTGAAGGAAACTAGAGAGCAAAGAATTAGGTAAAGGGAGAGTACGCTCTGCACAGGTGAGGCAGAGTGGGCTGCTGAAGGGAGTGAGCCACCGGCAGCTTTAGAGTTCTGCGTTTTGGGTTTTTATTATGTCAGACTGTTTCTTGAAGTTCCTGCCTCTATGTCATAAGTCTCTACCTTTTTTCTTTGTCTAGTGTTTCCACTCCCGTCTTAGGTCTCTGCCTTGTTCCCACCTAGTTTCTACCATGGGGTGGTGAAATCAGCAACAAAAAAAGGTAAACGTGTTATAGATGGACATGAGGTGGAAGCTAGGTGGGGAACTAGGTAAGGTGGGACTAGGCAAGGAACTGTAGTTCACCTAATAGGACCCTCCCTTACTATTAGCTGGTGGCATGGGCTGGCCCAGTACCAGATACAAATCCTACCTAATGGCTGCATTGCTCATAACTGCAACCCCAAGAAGGTCATATAGCAGTTAAATCTGTACTTTTTATGCCTGTACATATTTTATTAGTTTCTTCTTTTCTCTCTTTATCAGCATGTAACTACATTCTGATAGGTTAACTGCAGTGAGCAATTACTGGACATCTTAAGGGGGAAATCCTTTCTGCTTAGGTATTTCCCCTCCTCTCAGCTTATGTCTAGCATGCAGGTTTTTGGTGGTCCCTGGGGAGACTTTTCAGACCTCTGTTTTCTCATAGGCTCTCCTCACCTGCTCATGTCTAGCTATCTGCCTACCCTAGTGAATACAGGCATTGGTTAAATATTTGCATTCCAAAAGGGAGAAATCAGCCAAAACCAAGGGACTACAGGCCTCATGCAAGTTCGAAATCAAGCAGGGCAGTCATTAAATCGTAAAGCTCCACAATAATCTCCTTTGATTTCATGTCCCTAATCCAAGACACACTGGTGCAAAAGGTGGGCGCCCAAGGCCTTGGGCCTCTTTGCCCTGTGGCTTTGCAGGGTTCAGCCCCTGCAGCTGCTCTCACCGGCTGGGGTTGAATGTCTGCAGCTTTTCCAGGTGCAAGGTGCAAGCTGTTGGGGGAATCTGCCATTCTAGGAACTAGAAGATGGTAGACCTCTTCTCATAGTGCCACTAAGCGGTGTTCCAGTGGGGGCTTTGTGTGGGGATGCCAACCCCACATTTCTCCTCCACACTGCCCTAGTAGAGGTTCTCTATGAAGATTCCACCTTTGCAGCGGGGACACTGCTGGCTTTTTCCGACAACCTCTAAAATCTAGGCAGTGGTTCCCAAGCCTCATTTTTTTCACTCTGTGCACTTGCAGGCTTAACACCATGTGGAAGCCACCAAGCCTTACTGTTAGCACCCTATGAAGCAGTGGCTTGAGCCGCACCTGGGCCCATTTGAGCTAGCTGGAGCTGGAGTGGCCAGGATGCAGGGAGCAGTGTCCCAAGGATGCACGGATCAGCAAGGCCTTAGGTCTAGCCCAGGAACCCATTTTCCCCTCCTAGTCCTCTGGGCCTGTGATGGGAGGGGCTGCCTCTTAGATCTCTGAAGTGTGTTCGAGGCCTTTTTCCCATTGTGTTGGCTATCGGCACTTGCATCCATTTTATGTATGCAAATTTCCATAGCCTGCTTGAATTCCTCCCCTATGTGGCCAGGCTGCAAATTTTGCTAATTTTTATATTTTACTTCCTTTTAAATATATGTTCCAAATTATTTCTTTGCTCTAACATCTGAGCTAGGCTGTTAGAAGTAGCCATGCCACTATGTTGAACACTTTGTTGCTTAGGAATTTATTCCACCAGATACTCTAGGTCATCACTCTCATATTCAAACTTCCACATATGCCTAGGGCATGGACACAATTCAGCCAAGCTCTTTGCTTTGGCATAGCACACATGACCTTTGCTCCAATTTCCAATAAATTCCTCATTTCCACTTCAGACCTCCTCAGCCTGGACTTCATCATTCGTATTACTGTCAGCATTTTGGGTACAAACACTTAACCAGTCTCTAAGAAGTTCCAAACTTTCCCTCATCTTCCTGTATTCTTCTGAGCCCTCCAAAATCTTCCAATCTCTATTCATTACCCAGTTTCATAGCCATTTCCACATTTTCAGGTATCTTTATAGCAATGCCCCACTCCTTGTTATCAATTTTCTTTGTTAGTCCATTCTTGCACTGCTACAAATAAATATCTGAGACTGTGTAATTTATAAGAATAGAGATTTAATTTGCTGATGGTTCTACAGGCTGTCCATAGCAGCATTTGTTTCTGGGGAGGCTGCAGGAAGCTTCTAACCATTGAAGGCAAAGAGGGACCAGGCACATTACATGGCAAAAGGAGGAGCAATAGAGCTAGAGGAGATGAGCTACACACTTATAAATGACCAGATCTCTCAAGAACTCACTCACTATTATGAGGACAGTACCAAACGGGATGGTGCTACATCATCATGAGAAATCCACTCCCATGATCCAGTAACTTCCCACCAGGCCCACCTCCAAACATTAGAGATTACATTTCCATATGAGATTTAGATGAGGACACACATCCAAACTATATCAAGGTCTCATGGGTTAATGTGGGAAAGACTGGGACTAGAGCAGACGACCAGAAGCCTACAGCAGTAACACAGAAAAAATAAAAATTAAGAAAAATAACATAGAAGAGCAAGCTGCAAAGACTGTTTGGGGAATCAATAAGTATTTTTAAATTACTAGGCCAGGGATGGTGGCTCACACCTGTAATCCCAGCACTTTGGGAAGCCGAGGCAGGTGGAAAACTTGGGGAGTTTGAGACCAGCCTTGCCAACATGGTGAAACCCTGCCTCTACTAAAAATACAAAAAATTAGCCGGGTGTGGTGGCAGGTGCCTGTAATCCCAGCTACTCAGGAGGCTCAGGCAGGAGAATCGCTTGAACCTGGAAAGCAGCGGTTACACTGAGCTGAGATCACACCATTGCACTCCAGCCTAGGCAATGAGAGTGAAACTCTGTCTCAAAAAAAATAATCAAGTTAATATAAGAGGTAGATAAAAATGGATTAATTGAAAATGATTTTTAAGTCTGGAGTTAGTTGATTAGGAAAATGGCCATACTCTTGAAAGAACCAGGGAAAACTCAGAGGAGGTTTGAGTGGCAAATGATTCTGGAAGGAATCTAGTTCAGTACAACATCTACCAGAGATGATTGATTATCTAATTTTAGTAACATTAAACTTTTTTTCACAAAGCAATGTGTTTTATCGTTAGATTAGAGAGGCTTAGTTATTATTCAGTACTTCCTTATGCAAATGTTCCCTTTTGAAAGTTCTACCCATTTTTCTATCACTGTCACTTGGAGCATGGTAAGAAATCTTCCTTCTCTTCCAAGTACTGGTATGTATATAAATATTAGAAGTCAGTTATTAAGCATACCCTTAGTCTTCTTTTTCCAAAATAAATATTCCTAGCTTCCATTCGTCTCATCAAATACTTTCCAAATCCTTCACCATTGTGATCGTCTTCTCTGGAGGTATCCAAGTTTAGCAGTGTTGCCATCAGTATATGATGCTTAGAATTTAACATAGGCTTAAAGATGCTCTGTGATGAGTATGGAGTACAGTGGGATTGCTGCAATTTTGAACGAGTGATTTTTGATACCTAAGATGTTCAGACATGCATCAAAAGAGGAACTAATTCGAAGCCCAAGTACACCCACCCTGTGCTTGTGTAATTACTCTTTATGACCTAAATCTAGGGCTTTACATTGCAGAGGACCAGAAACTATGCGGTAAAAATATCTGATGTTAGGGCAACAAAAGATGTAGGGCACAGTAGAAGTACAGAACAAGTAGAACAAGCAACACAAATAGAGAGCTGATGAAGAGAAAAGCAGGAGAGGCAGGACAGTAAAGGATCAAAAAATTAAGTGAAAAGAGTTTCAAAAGCAGTATTAGGAACATTAAAATGTAAACACAGATTTTAAAAATATAAAGACTGAAGAGATGCTTTTATATTTGGCAATAAAAAGATCTGTCCTTGAAGAAAGCCATTTCAGGACTGTGATATGAAGGGAATTACATTTTAGAGGCTAGGAAGGAGTTAGCAGTGAAACTCAGAAAAGGCCAGAAATAATGCAACACAAAAATCAAATAGAAAAATCCAACAGTAGCTAGAAGCATTACATGTTTTCACTGAAGTCATGTCCTCTAACTTGATTTCATTTGTAAATCCCTCAGAGATTTTCAGATTCTACATTTCCAACACAGATACATCAAAAATAAAACTTTTACTCAGGTAACAATATAATTATATCTCCACACAAAAGCAAAATATCATTAATTATGTTTGAAACAAATGAGCAATAGGACATGAATTTTTCCCCCAAATTACCTAGTGAATTCATAATAAACTGTGATTTCAATTATAAAAAATACTATTCCTGGAACTGCTTAAAATGTTGCAGATATATCATCATTCATTTGTGTCAGTTGTTTTAAAATTTCTTCTTAAAATGTACTACCATTTCATAATAATATAATATCAGGGTTTGTTTGCATATTTCAAAGATAAATCAAGGAAAAGTACTTATTTTTATACTTTGTTTCCAATTCAATGTCAGCTTCAGCAGTTTAACAGTCTGAGAACATTTGAATATCAAATGTATAAATTCCCAGTAACCACAAAAAGCTTACATCAATATTGTCAGCGCCATGTTAATTCTCTTTAAACATAACTCTAAAATTAAACTGGCCAAGTCTTCCTTTGCCCTATCAGTTACTCAAGATGGAAGATAATAAGATTTTTAATGGGAACCTTTATGTACTTCTATTGAGAATAAAACTGGTAAAATTGTATTGGGGAGCAATTTGGTAAAACATAGGACAATTGTATTTGTACTGTATTTAGCCTCTGTTTTAACATTCCACTCTGAATCTACAACCGAGGGAAATACTCACAGTTCCATAAGGGGATATGCATGAATGTTTTTGCTTCAGGGTTACTGTGGTTGCAGGAAATCAGAGGCAACCTAGAGGAATCCAACTCTGGGAGGCTACTTAAATAAAATGAGGTGGATATATCCAATGTGGAATACCATGGAGCAGTAAGAAGTAAAGACATAACTATATTTATTAATCTGAATATATTTTAGAAACATTACATTAAGTAAAAGAAACAGAATAAGGTCTATACTTCAGCATCATCTAAGGAAATAGAACACATACATATACAAATTATTTCGGTGTATCTCTCAGGGTTACATAGATAGGGTACAGAAAATAGACATAAGGATGGGAGATGAAACTGGTTAAAATTCTAGAAGTTTATAAATCACAGTGGGGTACAAAATGTTTTCTAGAATCTTAACCAGTTGTACAGTTAATTTAATCACAATTTTTAATTCATTGCCCTTGTTTTTATGATATTGTTGGTATTCGTCTTTCCTCTTCCCATATATATTAATTTTAATAGTTTATAAAATACTTAAAGTCACTTTTAGGAACACAGAAACTTTATATATTTTTTATACAATAAGTTATGTATAACCAAATATATACATATTAATTCAAATGATCTTTGGCACATAGTAAAAAATGTTATCGTCTTCTTTATTAGTGGGTTATGTCTATGTTGTAAACTGTCTAAGGTAGGACAAAGTGCCTTTGCAGAATCCCAATTTGTGGACCTAGACCAAATAACTGAAAATGTAATGATGGCTGACATGCACTTGTGTGCAAGAGCAGCATTACTGTGACTTCTTAGATCCAGTAATTTTGGTACATCAGATCAGGATTGGCAACATTCTTTCACTTTGTTAGAAAAATCTCTTGACGTAAATTCTTCCTGAATTCCAAGGGAAACAATCAGCTTTGCATTTCAAGTAGCTGATTATGTTTGGTTATAGCTGATTATGCCAGTTATAAAGGTTAAACTCTAGGAACAAAACACATAACACGATTCATGCTGAACACTAGGCTTGGTTGCATTGAGTAGCATTTGTTCAGTACCTACCATGAGGGAGCCTAGGGTTTATAATCTCACTTAATCATCATAATAACCCTATAAAGTAGTTACCATTAGAAACAAATTTAAAGGAAAAGAATATGGGCTAGAGACATAGAAAAGGATGAGTTCATGTCCTTTGCAGGGACATGGATGAAGCTGGAAACCATCATCTCAGCAAACTATCACAACGACAGAAAACCAAACACCACATGTTCTCACTCATAGGTGGGAACTGAACAATGAGATCACTTGGACACAGGGCAGGGAATATAACACACGGGGGCCTGTCCGGAGGGGGTGGGAGGCTGGGGGAGGGATAGCATTAGGAGAAATACCTAATGTAAATGACGATTTGATGGGTGCAGCAAACCAACATGGCACATGTATGCTATGTATCAAACCGGCACATCGTGCACATGTGCCCTAGAACTTAAAGTATATATATATACTTTTTTAAAAAATCTCTAGAGAAAAAAAAAAAAGACGGGCTAGGGAGGTAGAGTAGATTCCAATTGTAAAACAGCTAAAAAATGTCAAACTAGCCCTCAAACCCTGATAGGTAAGAGCCTCCACCACGTTCCACTGCCCTTGTGATTGATTTCTTCAGTATTGATTCATTTCCTTTTGGATCTTTATCATTTTGTTCCTTAATTCAGTGGTCAATTGAGCCCAACTCCCTTTGCCCTCCCAGAACACTCCCCTCCCTTAAAATAATACTCATAGAACAACTCACTATCTCAAATATTTTCAACAGAGAAAACACGCTCGCTAGCAAAGTTTAACTTTCTGATAGCTACTTGATGCTCTTAACAAACACAAACTTCTAATACATAGCAGCATTGCATTATGGCCAAGACCAAGGTAACAGTAGAGTTAGATTACTAAAACACATTTCATTAGCAGGGATATAAAATACGTCACCAAGATTTACGCAGGCTCTTTCTCAGCAATCAGGAAATTGCGCTTCCTTGCTTATAACAGCTACAGCAACTGATAAGATTTTTTTGCTCACTGCCTTACTCCTGCTTTGCTGTTCACATCCAATTAGCTGGAATCAAGTAAATCCATTTGAGATCAGGGCCAGGGAGAATATAACTGAGGTTGCTATCACTTTTTCTGTCAACTTGTAAGTGTGCTATGAATTACCTCTAGACCTATCTTTGCTTTTCAATAGCTTTGGGAATGAATGCATTTTTTTAATGCTACATGTTATATCTTTCTGACATTGATTTGGTCTTTTTATGGATTAAAGAAGATTGCACCATTACAATGTCTATAACTTAAGCTGACCCTGAGCAGGGCAGTACACTCTGCTTTAGGATTAGAACCACATTCTGGGAAAATCGTGGGCAGCAGAAGGCAATCAAAAGAAAATGATCTTCCAAAATGAAGCTTTTGTATTAGTTCAAGTGAAAGAGAGCTGGTCATCTGGGTACATCATCCAGCTTTCCAATGAAAGGAATGGGAGAAATAGTCAATAATAAGACAATTGTCAGGGAATGTTCCTCACCAAGTCTAGATGCTGTTTGGAGACCTTTTTGCATATGTCTTCATTTATTTTATTTGTCCTTTCTTTTACTTCTTTTCTAATTTCTTGCAACTTAAGGCTATCTTTTCAGGATCTGGGAAGCACCTTTGGAAATCAAGATAATTATTTTCTAAACAACTGTATAGCTAGTGCTGGATCAGAAGCTGTAAAAATGCAGAAGATGCATGAAATGCTGAGCCCACAGAACTTTCTTGGCCAAAACCAGATGCAAAAATTAGGCACAAAATAATCCATGTCGGGGCCTCTTCCACAATCTCCATTAAAGAAAGACAATTTATTTGCAAATAAAATTTAGTGCCATTAACTTATTTCAGAGCCAATATAGCAACATGGACAAATATAACACCTTTTAATCTTCACTTTCTAGCTAATACACTGGCATTAAAATTTACAACAAAATGATAATATGAAGAATCAGGAAATCTCACTTGTTTAATATATAAAAGCAATTTGCCTTAGGAAAATCAATCAAGAACAACCAAACCTAGCATTTGTAGGAGCCAGTATGTCTAAATCTATTTTTGTTAATATAAAACACATAGAAATTTATCTAGATATTGACTAAACATCTTAATTTAGTAGTGATGAATATTTTGGTACTACAATTTTGTTTTGGAAAAGAGAGCTTGATATTTGTAAATAGATTGCAGAGCTGAGTCCTCTTAGCTTGTGTGAAGAATTAAGGGTTTAGAAAAACTAAAAGTCAATCTGTCAAACACAGGGATTAACTGATTATAAACTTTAAGGTCTGCAATAATGCCATACAACAAGCTTTTCCAACCTGCAGCCCGTGGGCAGCATGTTTTCCAACCCACAGGCCCAGGACGGCTCTGAATGCAGCCTAACACAAATTCATAAAGTTTCGTAAAACATTATGAGATTTTTTTTTTGCAGTTTTTAGTTTTTTTAGCTCATCAGCTATTATTAGTGTTAGTGTATTTTATGTGTGGCCCAAGACAATTATTCTTCTTCCAGTGCGGCCCAGGGAAGTCAAAAGATTGTACACCACTGCTATAGAAGTTGAGGAAATATTTTAGTAGACAAACTTGGTAACAATAGATTTTTTTTCTGTTTATGATTAATAAGTTCTTTTGTTCATTTTATTCTTTAAAAGTTACTGATTATTTTGACTGAAAAATCATACTTGTCATACTGATATCCTTAGAAAATGATTTTAAAATAATTTAACCAAGAGGCTCACTTAGAGTAAGATATATATATATATATGTGTCTGTGTGTGTGCGTGTGCGTGTGTGGTGTGTGTGTGTGTCTATATATATATATATATATATATATGCCCAGTAGTTCCAGTTGAATTTAAAGTTATGACTCAAAGAGCAGAGAATACCAGTTTCCTCTACTATCTTTCTTCTATTTTGCCTTTATTAATAGAATCCAAACATTTTAGCAAGCATATAACTACTCCAATAAAGATATTGTTCAACCTCCTTTAGGGCTTGGTGTTGCCATGGCTAAGTTTTGGCCAAGAGGGTGGAAGTGACATTAGTGTGGAAGCAGTGTGTGCGATGTCTAGATGCTGCCACTGAGGAAAACAGTATACTCTTTTCACCTTCTCCTTGAGTCTGCCAAGTGAACTGTGGACAGGACAGGATAGAGCAATCATCAATGCACATCAGAGAGAAATGGTAGATATTAACATCCCAATTTTAGCATGATAAAAATATGGGCTTCAGGGCTAGTGTGCTGGCCATGCTCCATAACGTACTCAATAACCCAGGGTCCTTCTATCTTAAGCTGCTGTTATTTTGGCTTTTCTTTCCACTTGTGACCAGATTAAAAATCCTCACTGAAACAACTATGCTGGTATAAGTTATTTGGAAGAAACCTGAATTATAGCAAATTTGTACTTTAGATGACAGGAAATAATTAAGGGTACATTACGAGATATTGTCCCAGAGTCTACAAAGTTGTCACTTCCACCTTGAAGGATTTCATCACTCCAGAGTCTCCGAGTGTCACTATGTAGGCAAAATAAAAAAACTAACACATGTTGCCTAGCATCCTCCCCACGTCCTCTACCCATCTCATCATCCCTGTACTCAGTCCCTGATCCTCAAATCCTCTCCCTCCTTAACCCATTTATTAGGGAAAATTATCATTAAACGGCTGTTGTATATTGTTTTTGCCATTTTAAATTATTGGAAGCATATGACATAGCTCTAGCTCAGGGATTCTTTGCTTGCTTCCTGGTTCTATTAAACTTTCTCACTTTTTCCACTCTTCCCTTTCATAATCAGAAATTCGTAGAGCTAGAAGGATTCACAGAGAGCCACAGGCCAACACTAATTTACAGATAAAGTGGATCTAGAAATGTCAAGGTAGCCAAAGCTATAAAGTAAATATTTGCCAGCACTTGGATTCAAATGCTGCTCTCTTAGGCACTAAACCACTGTTTTCTTCTCTCTACCAGATAACTGCCTATTTTCCATCTATCCAGTCCTCCTTGCTATCCTTTCCTTTCTATGCTCTTTGACATTTCTGTTCTTTGATACATTTAAAGAAAAAGAGAAGGGGTAGAAAGAAAATAAGAAGTATATATGAGCCAGTTGCCTATCTGTAAAATATCCTACGAGATGTTTTTGGTTTTTTTTTTTATATATATATTTTTAGTATTATCCTTTTAAATGAATCTCTTCAGATAATCAGACTTCCATTTTGAATGACTGGCTTTTGTTAGTACATTTTCCAGAATCCTAAAATGTCCTACCACAGTAGAGCTCTGTCTTTCCCAGCCACACTCCAAGCCTGCCTATATTCCCAGTCTCAGGAACTGGTAGCATATGCAAGAGAGAAATCTAAGCATCATCGTTCACTTCTCTCTATATCTTACCTTCTATTCAATTAATCAATAACTGCAATCAATTATACCTCAGTAACATTTCCCAAACTCACTCTGTTATCTCCCTCGCCATTGATACTTATTTAGTGCTAATTTGGATTAGGAAAGCAACTTTCTAACTGGCCCTCGGTCTCCAGTTCTAGTCTGATCTAATCTTTTCTCTAACTTTCAGCTACAGGGACCTTTTTAAAATGCAAATCT
Organism: Homo sapiens; assembly: GCF_000001405.40. Lineage (NCBI taxonomy): Eukaryota > Metazoa > Chordata > Mammalia > Primates > Hominidae > Homo > Homo sapiens. Next base: position 117,232,325 of record NC_000005.10, on the reverse strand, counting down.
TTCCATTTGCATTTGTCTTAGACTTTAGAATATTGATCTTCATTAGGACCTACAAGGCCCATATAGTCTTGCCCTATTCACTCCTCCAGTTCCATCTCTTACTGCATCTCTCCACTGTTCTACCCTGCAGCCTTCTGTATCTCTTCTAGGTCATTAATTTGGCATGCATTTTTTGGACATATATTGTTACCTCTGGGTTTAATATCAGCTGTAATCATCTCTTTTAGAATGATCTCTGTGAGTTTCCAGCTTAAGCCTGGTGCTCATTCCTTGTACTCTGAAAGCATCTTGCTCATGCTATTATGTCAGCATCAACATAATGTAATGTACGAAATGCAAGTGTTCAAATACTTATCTTCTCCATTAGAAGTGTCTTTAAAAAATCATGTATTCATCTTTCTATTACAAATGTCTAGCACAGAGATGGTTCGTGGTAAGTATTCAATAGGAGTTGGTTGAATTAATAAATAAATGAATACATCAACACAGGCTATGATCTGTGAGATGTCAATCTACTACTGAATATCTTTTTCAACTTTGGCCTTCCTTTCAACTAACAATTTCAGGTTAGGCTGTCTGTTAATAGTTCACTCATCCCACACCATACACCCCCAACACATGCACACACACACATGCACACACACACAAGACACATGCACACACACATGCATGAGACACACACATACATGATGAGAGTAAAACCAAACTCTGACATCTTGCCCAGCACTTTCCTTCCCTTAGTTAATATCACAGACGTTTCTTCTCATCAAATAGTAGTTGCAAGTGAACCAGTTACTCTAGCACTAAATTTCTGTGTCTTATTTTCTAGCCTTATAGAGCTAATCTCTAGTCCTCCCAAGCTAAGAGCCTAATGAATTAACACATGCCAAAAAATAAATAAATAAATAAAGTGACTGCCCAAATAGATTTTGACCTCAAACAGTAGCTGAGACATCGCCTCATTCCACTTCATATCTAATTTAAAGGGAAGAAAATAAGTAGGAATGGAGGGGTAGGACACAATTGGGTATTTTCTCCAGTTGGCATCTTGGCACAGCATTACCATAACTATAGTAAATATGAAGTCCAATTATATCAAAATATGTCCAGTTGCAAGATAAAAATTAGAGTAAAGTGTTTGCCAATGAAAGTGAAAAATTTTATGCTGATAATTGAATTACAGAGCAGTTCTGAGTTTCATCATAGCAATAGAATGCTATCGAGAAATGTTTGTTTTTTCTATATCTCAGCTGCTGAAAAGCATGCATACCAGTTATACTTTTGAAATTGCTTTGTATAGATGCCTCAGCTACCTATTAATCTAAAATGAAAAGAAACATTAAAAATGACAAAAATTTCTTAAGAATTTCAGTTTTCTTCTTTCTGCCTAGAGCACATTTATAATGTGCTAATAACTGTTCTAAAATATGTATAGTAAACAACTAAAGCTAGAAATAAACTGCCTTCTTTTGATAATTGTTTATTTCAAAGAAGTTTGTGTTGCCATGGTTTGGCTCTGTCCCCACCGAAATCTCACCTTGAATTGGATTAGGTTGGTGCAAAAGTAATTGCCATTAAAAGTAATGGCACAAACCACAATTACTTTCGCACCAATCAAATAGTCCCCATAACCCCATGAATCATGGGAGGGACCAGGTGAAAAATAATTGAATCATGGGGGTGGTTTTCCCCATTCTGTTCTCATGATGGTGAGTAAGCTTTCACAAGATCTGATGGGTTTATAAGGGGCTTCCCTCTTCACTGGGCACTCATTTCTGTGTCTCCTTGCCACCACATGAAGAAGGATGTTTTCACCATGGCTGTACGTTTCCTGAGACCTCCCAAGCCCTGTGGAACTATGAGTTAATCAAATCTCTTTCCCTTATAAATTACCCAGTCTCATATATGTCCTTATAGCAGCAGGAGAACGGACTAATGCATTGTTTGTTGCCAAGATATTGCAGTGTGTCTTAAAATAATAATAATAAAAAAAAGCAATATAGTTTTTATTATGGTGAGTGATGTTTATATCTAACTTAAGTGACACCAGTCTAAGTTATACTTGATTAGAGTTTTATGAATAAGAACCATCATTATTATTAGCAGTAGTAGTGTCAGTCTGTCAATTGATTTCCTTTGCCTAAGGATGAACCGTACACACATGATCTCTGTAGGTTAATGAATACATACTTTCTACTTTGCAGAATTTATTATTAGTATCTTTTTTTTTTTTCTGTCGCTCAGGCTGGAGTGCAGTGGCGCAATCTCAGCTCATTGCAACCTCCGCCTCCTGGTTTCAAGCACTTCTCCTGCCTCAGCTTCCTGAGTAGCTGGGACTACAGGCGAGGGCCACCACAGATAATTTTTTTGAATTTTTAGTAGAGATGGGGTTTTACCATGTTAGCCAGGATGGTCTCGATCTCCTGACCTCGTGATCCACCAGACTCAGCCTCCCAAAGTGCTGGGATTACAGGCGTGAGCCACCATGCCAGGCCTGCAGAATTTTTTTTTTTTTTAACACATTACTAGGTACTAGAACTGTAGGAGATATCATGGAGGTCCTTAAATGCTGGAAAAGGATTGCAAGTCATAGAGATATAGGTTATTTGACCCCACACAGATAATTAGGAAGGATAACTGCAATCTTCATTATGACAGGTGAGACACAATTTTTTCATGAGACAATCAGAATTCTGTAGGAAGATAAAGAGCCAGAGGAACCTATCACCATTGGAAACTCAATGATCTTTCATTAGACTCACTTTCCGAGGACTTTCACTCCAGTGTCTATACTATTTCATGAGTGTATTATGCTTAAACAGATCCCTATTCATGACAACTAATGAATCACTAATATACTACTCATTTAACAGCTTTTCAATAGTGTGGCCGTTTAAAGCAATTAGAGTTTCGTAAGCAGGTAATTTAGCTAGTCACAAAACAAAATAGGAATAGAGTGATGTATTTTTACATGATTAAAAATTTTACTTAAAAAAATCAAATGAAAATCTAACTTAATCAAACCATTTCTTGTTCCCTAACATTTTTATGGGCATAGCTAAAGCTGACCTTTAAAATCATGTTACTATTAAGATCAAATATGGCGCTGCACTGAAATTGATGGTCATAGTTTTAATACAAGGTGAAATAGAATATGGAATCCACCTAAATTTGCCCTTTTGCTTAAGCATTACAGCATTTGGACATTGATCAGATCTGTAGGCATGATATCCAGTCATAGGCTACCATTAAATATAATTCATTCAAATCAAATATTTCATGCTTGTAACCACTTTAAATAATGAACACAGGTATCTTTTTTTCTTGCATTCTCTGAAAAGATCAATTGTATTATCCTTGATATGTCAATAACAGCTATTTTATGAAGTATAGAAAAAATAATGTATTTTGGTTATTTTTTCCTGATCTAATTATGCCATCTTTTTTTTTTTTTTTTTTTTTTTTTTTTTTGGATAATATAAGGGCACTGATTTGGCATCTGCTTTTTTTTTTTGTTTTGTTTTGTTTTGAGACGGAGTCTTACTCTATCACCCAGGCTGGAGTGCAGTGGCATGATCTTGGCTCACTGCAACCTCCACCTCCCATGTTCAAGGAATTCTCCTGCCTCAGCCTCCTGAGATGCTGGGACTACAGGTGCGTGCCACCACATCCTGGTAACTTTTACTTTTAGTAGAGACAGGGTTTTGCCATGTTGGCTGGGCTGGTCTCGAACTCCTGACCTCAGATGATCCACCCACCTTGGCCTCCCAAAGTGCTGGGATTATAAGCATGAGCCACCGTGCCCAGCCTGCATCTGCATTTTTACAATCCAATTACATGACTTTGAATTCTTCTTCTTTCTTTTTTTTTTTTTTTGAGACGGAGTCTCTCTCTGTCGCCTAGGCTGGAGTGCAGTGGCGCGATCTCGGCTCACTGCAAGCTCCGCCTCCCAGGTTCACGCCATTCTCCTGCCTCAGCCTCCCGAGTAGCTGGGACTACAGGCGCTCACCACTGCACCCGGCTAATTTTTTTGTATTTTTAGTAGAGACGGGGTTTCACCGTGTTAGCCAGGATGGTCTCGATCTCCTGACCTCGTGATCCGCCCGCCTCGGCCTCCCAAAGTGTTGGGATTACAGGCGTGAGCCACGGCGCCCGGCCGACTTTGAATTCTTAAAGTTAGTATATCATGGGTATCAAAAAACTAGAGACAATTAAATGCAAATTGGTAAGTGAGGTTAACAAAGAGCTTTTACAAACCTAATATTCTTTATTAATTATAAAACATCATAATTTTTAACAAGTTTTAGTAGTTGAAAAGTATTTTCTGGAATTCATTACTAAATACTAATTGCAGCCTCAATGATTCTTACTAAACTCAGAATGCATAAAGTACATATACATAGTTGACTTTTTGTGAACACAGACATTTAGCAATTATAATTAGAGTCAGAGCTCAAGGTAAAATAGATAATTTACGAATGATGGTTGATGGGCAATATAACCTAATAAAAACATTTCAACAAACAACAACATCCTATACTGACTTGGAGTAATTTAATTTTTGAATCTTTGAGCATTATCTATAAATAATTATAATATTAACTGTCTTTTTAGCTAGCAGAGTAAACATCAAAAATGTATGCCTATCCAGTACCTTAAGAATTGATATCGGGGAAAACATCAGAATGGTTATTCATAAATTATTGATGGGTAAATCATTACTATAAATTTAATATAAAAAACCCTAAAGTATGATGCCAAAAAATACCTGAATAAATTCCAAAATAAAATTTAATAGTATTTATATTTAAAATATATTTATAAAACATTTTATTAATCTGAAAGAACATTGCACTTGGTGTTTCTTAAAATTTGTGCAGGAGGTCATAAAAGATGAAGTTCCACCTGAACACTTGACTGTTAATCCTTCTTTCCAAAGTTTACATTAAATGTCAAGGGGTTATAGATACACTGATGCTCATGTAAGGCTTAGATTCGGAAATACTATTGTATAGGAAACCAAGCTTTCATGTACATGTGAAGTTTTCATTTGTTTGCGTGGAGTAAGATTAATATATTTCATTGTGGTAAATGAAAAGCAAACCACTTGATTGATTTTGACAAATACATATCACCTAAGTGGATCCAATTCTTACCATAATATCAATTATTACTATCCTCCCCCAAATTTCCCTCATGTCTCTTCCAAGTAAATCCCTGTCTCTCTCTCCAAACTCACACCAGAGTCACCATAGCTCTGATTCTTTTTTCACCATGATTGGTTTTGCCTACAATAGAACTTCATATAAATGGAACCATACAGTATGTTCTCTTTTGTATAAATCTTTCTCTCAATATATTTTTGAGATTCACCCAGATTTTCTCTGTATCAATAGTTCACTTTTCTTTATTGCTGAGCTGTGTTCAATTCATTGTATGAATATACTAGGCTTGATGAACCTCTGAGCTGTTTACATATTTTGGCTGTTATGAATAAAACTGCTAGGAGCACTCTTGGAGAAATTGCTTTGTGGGCATACACTTTCACTTATTTTGAGAAAACACTTGAGAGTAGAATTGATAGACAATAAAGTTGATGTATACTTAGTTTTATAGGATACTGTCAGGTCATTTTGCAAAGTGATTGTAACATTTTACACTTGCTTCAGTAACATATAAGATCCCATTTGCTTCACATCCTCTCCAATATTTGGGACAGTTGGTCTTTTTAATTTTAGCTATTTGCTTGGTTATGTAGTGGTATCTCATCATGGTTTTAATTTGCATTTCCCTAAAAATTAGTTAAGATGAATGAAGATCAATGTTTTTATCATTTATTAGCCATCTGTACACATTATTTAGTAAAGTGGCTGTTCAACTCTTTTGTCCATATTTTATTGGGTTGTTTATCTTTCTATTGTTAAATTTTCAGTATTTTCAGTGTACCTGAACTCTAGTCATTTTCAGCATGGTATGTCTTACAAATATTTTCTTCTAGTCTGCAGGTTGTCAATTCATTTTCTCAATCGTATATTTTGATAAACAAAAGTTTTAAATTTTGGTGGATTCTCATTTATCATTTTTTTGTGGTTATTCCTTCCTTGTGTTGTCTAGGAAATTTTAACTATGCATAATTCATAAGATATTCTTCTATTCTGGCTTTACACTTTTCAATTTTTGGTTAGTCTTATCCCATCCAATTAATTGATCCTTCTTCAATTATTTTTTTGTGTAGGTAGGGGTTAAGACTCCTTTATTTTCATATTCACATCTAGTTGTTCTAATACAACTTGTGGAGAAGATTTTTCTTTCTATATTGAATTACTGTGATGCCTTCATTAAAAGTTAACCAAGTCAGTGGAGGTCTATTTCTGAGTTCTTTATTCCATTCTGTTCTGTTTATCTATATATCCTTCTTCATGTCTGGACCACATCTTCTAACAACTGTAGCTTTATAATAATCTTAAATTAAGGTAGTATTAATCCTCAAACTTTGGGGTTTTTTTAAGATTGTTTTACATATTCTAGTAAATATTTCTTGGTGTTTTCACATGTATTTTAGAATTAGCGTCTCGATTTCTACCAAAAAAAAAAAAAAGAGCCTCGTTGAAGTATTTTGGAACTGTGTCAAATCTACAGATCAATTTAGAAAGTGTCATAACTATTTCACCAATATGTCTGCCTAACTGTTGAAACATTAGTCATTTTAAATGTCATTACAACAAAGTCCCAGCCAGCATCAACCTGAACGGCCACTTTGATTCAGTCTGGATTTCACCTTGGTCTCTCTTCTTCCCACCTTTCATAGCTTCTCTCATGCATTGCTTCTTACTACATGGCTTCGGGAAGGAGATCAAGCTTTTAACACTAATTTCAAACCTAGTTCTGGGGTTGCTTATAGTTGAGGTTCCCACATAGTATTTTGAAATAACTAATGACCTAAGGCTGTATTCTTATCACAAAATGTTCACTTCCTCTTGAATATATTACCTCAGTAAAGAGACATGATCAACATTTTAAAATTTTTTGACTATTTTTCACAGTTTTATCCACAAGTTTATGTTTTTTACATCTGAGATATTAATTGCTGTTGCTCTTTCCTGTATAATTCTTAAAGAAGATTAGCAGTTAATAATACTGAAGATGAAATCAACTAAACCTTCTATTTCACTTAAAGAAACAAACAGTTCATTCCCATTTAATTCAAATAAAAGCCTTACTGTGTGACCTACCCCATATCTGTGAACAATAACTCATATTCAAGCTTTTAAAAAAATTTTGAGTGTTATTAAGAAAGACACAACTTACTTTGCAAATAGACTGCCTTAGAACTGTCTTATTTACTTGTATTGGAGGTAAGAGAACATATACTTTTTGCTTCTTGATGATCAGAACCTCTCTTAATAAATACCAAAACCAAAATACATTGATTGAACAATTCAGAGACACAACTGAAGCTAACTTCCAGTTCAATATTACCTGGTAGAAAGGGACAAGGAATGTAACTGCTGCCTTTGTATCATGTGATGAGGGTAATGCAAGGATTTTCAAAATGCACTTTCCATTCCCCTCTGCCATGTTTTTAAATGATCTAACACTCTTTCTAAACTCATCAGGTTACCACAAAGACAAGCTCACACATATAGAAGTCATTCATTCATTCATTTAGTCATCAACTTTCAAAGTTATTAGAGTCTCTAATCCATGTCAGACACTGTGCTAGGCCTTGAGGTTAAAAAAATTAAAAAGACATGCTCACTGTCCTCATGGAGTTTGTATTTTTCAGAAAGGGACATATAATAAATAAATAAACAAAAACAATCATTTTAGTAAGTGCCTTGAAGGAAATGATGGGTGGCAATGGTAGAGAAAAAATAAAAAAAATTAAAAAAAACAGTGAGATGACTTTAGATAGATTGGTCAGAGAAGGAATATATGGGGGGAACTGACATGCAAGCTAGTCTTGAAGAATGAGAAAGATCTGGCCATGAGGGTATTTTGAAGAAAGAAATGATTATATTATTTACTTTTGTTATCCTCAGTAAATGCTTCAGGAGTCTGCTTTGAAGATCCTCAAGATTCCTGATAGTAGTTAAGGCTGTAAAAATGAGAAACAGGGTGGGGACAGGAAAAATTTTTACTTAAAGCTAGCTATGAAGCCCTATGGTCTTTCTTTCAGCCTCAATCAACAATACCACCTGTGTTAAACACTCTGTGCATGATCAATGTAAAAGAAGGTTGCCCATTTTCGTCCACCTGAAGTCAGAGAGACTTGGTCAGAGATACCAAGACCACTTGGTCTTGACGTGGTCTTAGCTATTTGAGGATTCTATAAACTGACTTATGCTAGCAACCCAGATTAGTTTCAAGAATCTTATTTTGTTGGTGTTTCTAAGTGGCTTGTACAATGCAGAAATAGAAAGATTGAGCAGAAAAAAACAAGCAGATGATAAATCTCTTCCGAAGAATGATGCAAATCAAAATGCAGAGTCACTGATCTGACATAGGAGTACAAAGAGATGCACTCACTTAAAAGTGATAAATTTAGTAACAACCCATAGTAATGTATTTTTATGCTTAATACATTACCAGGCTTTCATATTTTTATGGAGAAATAAACTGGAGTATAATTTTCTTTGCACTTTTATTTATTTAGATCAGAATAATGAATTTTTATGTGGCTGAACGCCTGCCTGGACATATATAAATTTCAGTCATATTATCATCTTGTTACAAAATTCAAGAAGGCAAGATATTGAAAACAAGGAGCAGATGCAGAGATTTCAAAGCATCGTAAATATACGTGCACATTCTACTTTATATTTAATATAGTTGTAGTCCACAAAGTCTGTTTTCCCTTTAATCACTTTAGGTGTTAGATTTATCTTAATCTTAAGTCAATCTTAAGTCAGGTGTTTTTTTTAGATTACGACATGATCACAATAATAAACTTCATATATTTCAGTCATTTATAAACTCAGACACAATTCCATGCTGTGTTTTAAGATACTCATAATTAAGTAATCATTTGGTAATACTTCTGCAATAGGAAAGAGAAAAAGGGAACGTATGGATTAATATAACCGTTTATTCTATATATATATATATATATATATATATATATATATATATATATATATATAAATCTTTTTTGTCTTTTGACTCTTTCAAGGGATGTAATAGTGTTAAAAACATTTAAGCTTGAACTGCCAATTCTGAAGATAGTTCTTACTTCAGAGGAGTAAAACGAGAATTTTTAAAAGACATCCAAGAGTTTCACAGATGACTTCTTATGCCCTGACAGACATTCCTATGTCTCTGAAAAGCTAGGAAAGTATGTGGTGTGGATGAAGAGAACTAAGTAGGAGAGGTGACAGCCTTGGCCCAGTTTCCTTGAAAAGATAAATAATTTTGTAAGCTAGAAGAAACTTTCTCATACATAAATTATCCACAGCAGTTCTACACAAATTGTTGGTTCCAGAACTGTTTGTACCAGTCCCTTATATCATAAGGAGCATGTGCCAGAAAGTAAGCCAACTACAGTGGTCCCCACTTATCCATGGGTGATATGTTCCAAGAATATCAGTGGATGCCTGAAGCCACTGATGGTACCAAACCCTATATCTACTATATGCAACAGTTGATCTGATAGTGAGAGGGCTACAGCGTGACCAATGGGCAGGGAGTGTGTACAGTGTGGATACACTGGACAAAGGGATGATTCATGTCCCGGGTGGGATGGAGCGGGATGGTGCTAGCGAGATTTCATCACACTATTTAGAACGGTGCACAATTTAAAACTTACACATTGTTTACTTCCGGAATTTTTCATTTAATATTTTTGTACCTCAGTTGGTCACAGGTAACTGAAACTGCAGAAAGCAGAACTGTGAATAAGAGAGGACTACTGCATGCGTCTTTTTAATTCAGTTCAGCTGATTTTTTTTTTTTTTTTTTTTTTTTTTTTTTTTTTTTTTTTTTTTTTTTGAGACGGAGTCTGTCTCTGTCACCCAGGCTGGAGTGCAGTGGCAGGATCTCGGCTCACTGCAAGCTCCACCTCCCGGTGGAGCCTCCTGAGTAGCTGGGACTACAGGCGCCCGCCACCACGCCTGGCTAATTTTTTGTGTTTTTAGTAGAGATGGGGTTTCACCATGTTAGCCAGGATGGTCTCGATCTCCTGACCTCGTGATCCGCCCACCTCAGCCTCCCAAATTGCTGGGATTACAGGTGTGAGCCACCATGCCCGGCCAGCTGATTTTTTTAGTAGCAAAACTTATTTGATGAAGGAAGCAGGGTGCTGATTTACATTCTGATGTAAGATTCTCATCTCATTTTTAAGTAGTAATACTCAGTTGGCAGATCAGAATCTATCCACAGACCACATTTTTAATTGTACTAGTCTAGAGAAAAATTCAAAATCATATGATTTTGGCTAGTGGTTGCAATTCATAAAGCCTATAAATCAGGAAGAATGTCACATATGAACTACACATGTTCTTGGTAGGAGTCATTAGGCTAGTGACTGTATTTGGAGACCTGAAAATATCAAGTGTAAATCCCAATAAAGAGAAATAAAAGTGTTATAACAGTGAAGGACATGTTTGACATACACACAACCATTGAGAAGTACAAGCATAGCTACATACTAAGAGGCCTCAAGAGATGGACTACTCATTCTATCAAGAGTCACATGCAGCAGAATAACAACAACAACAGCAAACAAACAAAAACAAACAAAAAAAACTACATCGAGGAATATGCATTGTTGGTGGGGTCATCAGGTGAGGTTCTGGGCTGCACCTTTTAATATGAAGAGATCCAGAGCACAACAGCATAGCCCGGCTCTGGTGCAGGGGTCCTGGGCTCTTGGGTATGTCCTCTCTGGAGAAGGCATTCCCAAGAACCGTATTTAACCATGGTCCAGGGCAGAGAAAAGGATTCTAAACCAAAGAGAACACAGAGGGATGAGGTGAGACTGATCCCCAGAGCCAATGTGCAGTTAGATTTGATGGGTACTTTTGAGGAAAACAGAAACTCACTAGGAAGAAAAGCAGAGTTTTTGCTCACTAGAGGGAAGACAGCAAGAGTTTTGTAAAGAATCCCAAACATCAGGCACTTAGGCAAGGAGGATGTATTCATCTGTTTTCATGCTGTTAATAAAGACATACCCAAGATTGGATAATTTATAAAGAAAAAGAGGTTTAACTGACTCACAGTTCCACATGGCTGGGGAGGCATCACAATCATGGTGGAAGGCAAAGAAGGAGCAAATGTACATCTTATCACGGTGTCAGGCAAGAAAACTTGTGTAGGGGAACTGTTCTTTAAAAAAGCATCAGTTCTCATGAGACTGACTCACTACCACTAGAACAGCATGACTCAATTACCTCCCACAGGGTCCCTCCCACAACACATAGAGATTATGGGAGCTACAATTCAAGATAAGATTTGGGTGGGGAAACAGCCAAACCATATCAGAGGAGTGGAGGAAAAGAGTTGGGTGCCACTGTAAAGACTGGAAATGCAAAAGTAGGACAGAGGCTCAACTGTGGCTGTAAAATCTTCAGCTTATAACCTCAGGTTTTTCAATAGCATTTTCAAATAATCTAACATTGTTAAAAAGAGATATGTGTTTAGTTTAGGACCAACCACAGAAGGAAGCAATTTTGATCCCTCTATTTTGTTTCTCAAATGTAATTGAATGATGTCTGATGACTTCCCTAGTTTACACTGTACACATTCCTAGATAATTTTCTCTCTTCCCTGGGCTACCCTTTGAAGTTCTGATTATATTTACTATCAAAGGGAAATCAAAAAAGAGACCTAAAGAAGTTTGATTTAAGTAATCAACTTCATAAGATTGTTTTGACTTTATTATAAACAATGGCCTCTGGGAATGAGATGAGTCTGACTTGGAGGAAAAAAGTGAGAATGCTCATCTCAAATATGATTTTGTCTTACAAAATATGATGATGGAAGTTATAATTCACCTCAAGGATGTAAAATTCCCAGTAATCATATTGCTGGTATTAATTTATTACATGTTTTTAAAAGAAATTAGGTTAAAAAATTACATTTAAGTTCTTTTTGTCCTCACTTGCCTCTCTCTTATCTCCCTCCTCCCAACAATAAAAGCGGGAGGAATGTATTCAATACACCCTGAGCTGATCATGCTCTGGTTGGTTCTTTCACACTGCCCTTAATATTTTCCCTTTTTATGAAAGACCTGACAAAAATTACTCTGACAAATACCCTGATGAGAGGGACAGCTTCTGATGAAGCACCAGGGGAGGAAATATATCTCATAAACAGCCTCACTCTGGCCTCAAACCCATACCATTAGCTCTGAAGGATGAAGCAACTAATTATACAAAAGGCTGTTGCCAGAATTTCCAACATGCTACAAAACCTTTAAATATAGGGACTGACAAAATAAATAATAAATTCTTTCTCTACTTCACATATGGTCTGTGATCATGGGGCTGAATATTTCAAAACAATAGTGCAATAAAAACTAAAATAGAGCAGTATCCTCTTGGGTCTCCAGAGTGAGGGATGCTGAAGATTCTACAGATATTGAATGACCAGGTGGGCAGTGCTCCATCTCCCAGTATGCTCCAGGGCCATGGAAAGAGTTGTGCTAACTCAATGTTATAATTGGAGGAGGGCTTAGAATGACATCATGTCTGCAGGGGCAGTCAAGCATACAGTTTTATCCATACATCTCATCACATTAGTTTTCATTTTTGATCAATTTGAACACTAAGGCTAAATAAATGAGGATTGAAATACATCTATTTCCAACATATCAACTAATTTTTACAAATTTGTCTTTTATCATGTTTTGTTTTTGTTTTATAAAGTTTGAAGAAAAATTATATCATTTACTGTAAAAGCAGAGTTGAACTCCTGACTTTCTAAATAAGCAAACAAACAAACTAACAAAGATACTGAGGTCTACAAACATCCTTCAAAGATCTCATCAAAAGAGCAAATGAATAATCATAAAAAGTGTGCATTGCACTCAGGATTACTGTTTCTTTGAATAAAGTATTTTCGGTGGGGGACTCCTATTACTTACTATAGACCATAAATAAGAATTAGCAACTCGAGGATAAAATATTAGTTGTTTTCTCAAAAAGGACCAAGGTCTTGGAAAAAAAGAATGATAAGAACATATTTGAGGGAAGTGGAATATTATTTTAAGTAAATTCCAAAATATTAAGGTGAGCCAAAGTAATTATTACCAAAGGTGAATCACCATTTTTGCAAACAGTGAACAGGTCTTATCAGTAATAGAATATTTCCACTCCCATCCAGCAGCTACGCTGTTGCCTGTAGTGTCAGAGAGCTGGGGCCCTATTATTGTTAGTCAAGCAGATAGTGTAGCCCTAGGGGAAATTATCACAGAAGGTAGAATTCATTGTATACTCATCCAGGTTCGATCTGGCTTTAGCTGAGAGGGACAGATTTATGCCTAATATTTGGGCCTTATCAAATCCTGAGGCTAAAAGGAAAATGGAAGGTATTTAATCCAACTCCCCAACTGATGTTTTATTTCCCTTTACAATATCATGGCCAGTAGGTAACCATGCACAATGCAACTTTTTTGAATGCCTTAAGTAACAGGGAACTAAATATCTTACAAGGCCACCTTGCCTCAGTCAATCATCACTTAAGTTGCTTCTAAATTAAATACACACAGAGAGTAGACTCAAAATCCCCTCGTTCTTGTTTTTTTTAATCTTAGTGGGCATGGGGATATAATTTTCCCCTTAAAAACTTTATTTTATTTAATGAAATTTGTATTTTAATATGTAAATCATCCCTTTTTCTTACTAAAATTCAGATTAGTGGAAAAGAAAAGCCCTAGGAAGTCATTTTGTTTTTGGTTAGAGGTTGAGCATTTGTGTATAAAATTAATTAGACTCATTGTAACCCACCTGGATGGATTGAAAAATACAATTCTCAGCAGGCAGCATTGTAGGAATAAAGACTCTCTCAGTGACTGGATTATAGATACCCTGGCTCTTATTATTTCCTGTTATAAAAGCCTATCAGTTTGATTTTTTTTTTTTTTTTTTTTTTTTGTTCAATGACTGCTACTTAAAACACCATCTAGAAAGGTAATCCCCAGAACGGTGCTTTTATTGTTTGAAACTCAGGAAAACAGCAATATGATCTTTCAGCCTGCGTGTGTCGCAAAAGCTAGGTCACCTTCTTGGGCTTGAAGGTCAGTTTCTTTTTATGTTAAATTCCTGTCTTTAAATGAAGAAGAAAGGCATGGAAAGGAAGCCGTAGCTTTGACCCACGGAGACACCCTCTGCAGTTAACCAGTGGACCCAGCTCTGGTTTAAATTGAGTAGCCAGACATCACATTTTGCTCCTTTTCTAAAAGATTCTTAAACACAAAGAAAAAGCGAGGAAGGAAACGTAACAGTAGATGCAGCAACAAAAATACACACAGGCACAAGCAGCTTGGTAGGACAGGCTTCTGGAAGCTAATTTGCCCTCTTATCCTACAGGGAGCAAGGCTGCCTGTCTACTGAAAGGACACAAAAAGAACTACGTGGAGAAATGAGAGACATCCACCACAACGTTCAAAATGAAGAAGAGAATGGAGGAAAGGCTGATTGAAGAGAGGGGGAGAAAACAATCAACACATATTTTGCAAAGGACAAATATCAACTTTAGAGTAGAAAATGTTGAAATATTTTATTGATGGGATCATCGTGGTCTACTGCATTGAGGATGTTCATCTCAGCCAATATTAATTTGGAGAGCTGTATCATGAGTTTAGTTCAGAAACATTAGTATGCCTACTATGCACCGGTCACTGTTTTTCATGCTGGAAATATAAAGGAAACGAATGCATAGTCACTACCCTAGAGGAAACTGCGTTCTGGAGACTATCAGACCGTATACAGTCAATTTCAATTTAATGTGTTAAATGCTGCAACAGCACCAGAATGGGAATTCAGGCCAGACTAAGGGATCAAGGAAGATTTTCTAGAAGAGATAATGCTTGAACTGTCTTTCATCTAGATCAAAGCTCAACACTATTTAGCTCTGTGCTATAGGGCAACTGGCATAATCCCTCTGAGCATGCTTCCTCATTAATTAAAAATGGGTGCAATAATACCAATCTCACAGGTTTGTTATGAGGATTAAAAGATTAAACACAAGAAGTGCCTTGCACTCTACTTTGTATGTTATACTGGAAATGTTTGATAAATCTTTTTCTTCCTGCTCCCTATAAAATGTTAGTGCTGGAATGGGCTTGAAGTATGAATGACCTGTGCTGTCCTTTTATAAATGAGGAAGGCATGGGCATAGATCTTGGGTGATTTGCCCAAGGTCATGCCAGTCAGCCGCAGAGCCAGGTCTTCTCACTCCTAGCTTAGCACCAACTCACAATACCCACTGTATCATTTCCATATATTGGTATGATGATTAATGATGGGAATCACTCCAGAGGAAAACATATGCATCATAAATATGGAGACACTGAAAAAAAAGAGAGACAGCCTATAAAAGTAAAATCTGTGCAATAGTTGAGCAATAGATTTTAAAACTAACCTAAAAAGGAACTTAAGTCAGAAAAAAAATCAAGTGAACCTAAAATCATGCACTAAAATAACATAACCAAACAATATTTAAGATTTAATCGAGTCATTTTAAACAACTTTGGATATGGATGGAACTAGTGTCAGTGGGCAAAGAACATGTTAAAGTTAAAATTCTACTTTTTTTTTAAGATTCCTTAAATTGTTTACATGTAAAGCTGATATTAAAATTTTCATCTGTAGAAACCTTATGAAAACTGTAAAATCATTGAGTCCAATTTTTGAAAGTATTTAGAGTTCATCTAGTTCAGGGTTTCTCAGCTTTGACACTGTTTATATTTTGGACTGACAGGTTTTTTTTATTGTTGTTTTGTTTTGTTTTTAAGATGGACTTTCGCTCTGTCGCCCAGGCTGGAGTGCAGTGGTGCGATCTCGGCTCACTGCAACCTCCGCCTTCTGGATTCAATCAATTCTCTGCCTCAGCCTCCCAAGTAGTTGGTATTACAGGTGCGTGCCACCACACCCGGCTAATTTTTGTATTTTTAGTAGAGATGGGGTTTTTACCATCTTGGCCAGGCTGGTCGTGAACTCCTGACCTCGTGATCCACCCACCTCGGCCTCCCAAAGTGCTGGATTACAGGCGTAAGCCACCAGGCCCGGCCTGGACTGACAGGTTTTTTTAACTTCTTTGTTGGGAGATTGTCATGTGGGATTATGGATGCAGCGGCATCCGTGGACTCCACCCAGAAATGTTGGTAGCAACCTACCTACCCCTAAGTTGTGACAACTGAAAATGTTTTCAAGCATTTCCAGATGTCCCCTGTAGGAGAAAATCACTCCAGTTGAAAACCACTGATATAGCTGAATGCTCCATCCACTACAGGAATTCATCATTTTTCAATATTTTCTGAAAGATACTCAAGTTCTGACCATTTCCAGGATTAGAAAAAGCCTCTGCATTTTGAGGCAGTCAATCTCATATCTGAACAGCCCTAACCATTTGAAACATTATATTCAGCTAAAATCTGCTTTTGTATATTTTTATACCAACCATATACATTTTTCCCTCTAAAGAAACATGCAGAACATTCAATCCCTTTTCTTCTTTAAAATATGTGGAGGCAATCATCATGTTTCCTTTAATTTTCTCCGCCCTAAACTTTTTTCCAATTTCTTCAAACCATACTCGTCAAATGCTTTCTGGATTTCTTGTTATTTTTGTCTTCATCTTCTGGGTGCTTTATATTTTGCCAGTACTCCTCATACCAGTGTTAAGTCTCTTTACCCCTTCCTTGCAGATAAGAGAATTATGAACCACAAAGCTTATTTGATTTCCTCAAGCGCACATCAATAGTTAGTAAGGGCTGGGACTGAGGCCAGGCGTCCTAATTCTCAGTTGAGGACTTTTGACTGTACTTATACTCAAACAGGCTAGCAGGCAAGGGCCGCTAAGAGGAGGAGGAGTTGTTCCACATTCTAAGCGTTGGTTCACCCTGGACCAGAAGTTACTCCAAAATCTACGTGAAAGTGGCAGTGAGGGAGTAGCACACACCCTCCCTTAATATTCTCTCAAAATGTTTAAAACCTCCCAAGGGAGTCAAGTTGCTTCAAGAAATTACACAAACCAAGTCACCTTAATCTCTGCTCAATTTCTTCATCCCTAAATTAGATATAATAGTGGCACCTGCTTCTTGGTGTGGAGGTGAAAAGTAAATAAGGTAAATGTTAAGTAAATGTTGTTATTTTTCTCCCAGCAACTACACTGTGTGCCATGGGCATACTGAATAAAGAATCAGTGTGATGGAAAACACAAGGCTGAAGAAACAGCCAAAAGAAGGAAAAAAGGAGGTGTAAGTACAAAGTAAAAAAGTATATTTCAGTAAGTCCAGGCTTGAGAGATGTCAGTTTCCCTGAGTAGCATATCTTGGGTATATTCTGCTCTTATACACTTGTCAAGGAAAAGCATGGAATTCAGAAAATTTAAAAATTATAATGGGAGTCACACATTAGTAAATAGCCATTTTTATTACTGTTATTTTCTTGAACCCTATTGCTGTTGTCTCTTCGTTTTTGTGGGGTTTTTTTTTTTTTTCTTTTTTGGAGTAAGTTTTCTTTGGTGAGTGGCAGGGGGATAATTTCCCTTACCTACATAAGAAAACAAAGACAAATAGCCTTTGCTCAGAACCGGTTCATTTTATCTCTGACTTGGGAAACTTCCTCGTGAAACTGTTTGGATTTGCAAAGTATGGTTCTAATCCTGAGGATCATTGATTACTGTATTTAAGACAACCTGGACCCGACTGCCTCTAGAAGTTTTCTTTAGGGGGTCCTCTTTGCTTTTGTACATTGCCTTGTTTTAAAGCCTCCATTTTGTTATTAATGCAACTCTTGATTACTCCACCTCAATAGGCTATTTCTCTGTGTCACCTTCTACTCAAGAGGTCTGCATGAAAGCCAGGCATAGCTTCAGGAAGGAATGTGCAAGAATCATCTGACACCAAGTCATTATTTTTCACACTGTGCCATGCTGTTGAGGAACAGACCTTTGCCACTTAACCCCAGGCCATGGTGGTTCTTAACTAGGTTGCCCAATTTGCTTCTAGTACTGGAGGTCTTTGAAGTTACCTACAGCATGCTCTCTGATGCACTTGGAAGGTGGCACTGGTGAGATGTGGCTTGTTCGACAGACTGGGTTCGTACATACTGGAACTATAATAGCACATGTGTCTATACACATTGGGCACAAGTCAAAGGACAGAGAGGTATATCAAAGTACTAGATATATATACAATTTTAGCTGTCCATCGTAAAACTTCCTTCTGATCCTTGGGGAATCCCACATTAATGGAGTCTTGGCAGGAGACAGGGTCCTGTCCCCTGGCCCTGACAGTTAGGGCACAGATATATGGCCTAGAATCAACCAATGAGGTGTTCCTACTCGGGACTTAGAACCTGGAAAATATGCCACAAATACACAAATTGTTCATAGCAAAGGCAACAGAGTGGAAAAATCAGCCACAGGGATGGGCAATGTTCTAGGGCAGCAAAGCCCACTGTGACACTTTGGATCTTTCCTGTGGTCTGAACTTGACTGGGTTTTTCTGTTGCCTAGAATAACAACTATGCTTCCAGACTCCTTCTCTAGCCTTCTATCAATTTTGTGAATGATTCAGTATTCTTCCAGTAAAAACCCAGCATAGTCCCACCTCTGACTGTCTGTGTGACCTTGGACAAGTCATTCAGCCACTGTCCATTGGGAGATGGTAAAAACAGTAGTACTTGCCTCTAAGTTCAGTTGAAAGAATTAAATGAGAAACAGTAAATTGCTTACATGGTGGCTGAGACATAGTAAATGCCAAATAAATGTTACCTCTCCTACTTTTTTATTACTAAATCTCTGAATTTGTATTTATATATGAGTTTATTTCATCAATATATCTAAACTAAAGACTCTTCAGAAATAGGAGCATACATCTTTTAAATTTATTTATGCATTCAGTTAGCCAACAAACATTTATTTGAGGAATTGTCCAGCACTTTGCAAAGAAATAAAAGGTAAGCAAAAAAATCAACATAGTTTCATTGCTCAAGGCAAAATAGATACCAGTTCAAAAAAACTTCACATATCAATGCAGGGCTATGAAGCAAGGAATGTACTGTCTGACAGTGCAAAGCAGAAGGATATGAAATCAAACATTCTCAAGGCAGAAGGGGAACGCTGACCTGGAATCTGAAAAATGAGTAACAGTTAACTAGCAAAGACTGGCAAAATGAGCATTCCATGCCAAAATAACCACCTGACTAAAGGCCCTGTTGTAGGATGAAAGATAGCATGTTCAAGGACAAGGGACAAAGGACTGTCAAGGACTGAGAGTAGTGCAGCATGGAGGGGTGGGGTGCTGGCCCTGCAGATGACATCAGTGTATTTGAAATCTCTTAAGAATGATGGGAAAGTATTAAAAAATCCAAGAAGGGTCATTACCAAAGCAAAAATCCATTAGACTTTAGACTTTTAGGAGTTGGTGCTGGAACAAATTAAGACTTTTGGAAACTATTGGGATGGAATGATTGTATTTTATATGTGAGAAGAAGGATGTGTGATTTAAAAGATCAAAGGTGGACTGCTATATTATAAATGTTTGTCACCCACAACCTCATGTCAAAATTTGATCCCCAATACTGTAGGTGAGGCCAAATTAAGGGTCTTTGGGTCATAAGGGTAGATCCCTCGTGAGTGGCTTTGTACTGTCCCCATGTTAACGAGTGAGTACTTGTTCTGTTAGTTCCTGTGAGAGCTGGCTGCAAAAAGAGCCTGCCACCTACCACCCCTACCTTGCCTCTTCTCTTGCCATGTGAGCTCTGGGCACACTGGCTCTTCATCGCCTTCCGCTATGAGTGGAAGCAGTCTGAAGCCCTCACCTGAAGTAGATGCTGGCACCATGTTTCTTGTGCAGCCTTCAGAACTGTGAGCCAAATTAACCTCTTTTTTTAATAAGTTACCCAGCCTCAGGTATTCCTTTATAGCAACACAAATGAACTAAGACAGTCATCCAAATAGTTTTGATTTATGAAATGTTCACTCTGGCTACAGTTTGAAGAATGGATTGGAAGGAACAACAAGTAGTTACAGGGAAACTACTTAGGAGGCTCCTACAGGAGTCCAGATGTAAGATACCGGTTGATTGAATTAGGTACTAGTGATAGGGATGGGGAGAATTGGGTAAATTGAGGTATTTAGGATGTAAATTTGACCAGACTTTGGGTGGGTTGGCTATTGCAGTAAATAAGTAGGTGGAGTACAACCCTCATTTCCCCAAAGGTTCCTTCCCAGTTTTCAAAATGGAGGCCTGGTGTGCTTGAGTAGAAACCTAGTACATTTCATGCTCAGATAACTTCTCATACAACAATACAAAAATACTCCTAAGACATTCATCTTCAGAGTGCTTTAACATTTACAAAGTATGTCCATATTCACTTTTTTACTTCGTTCTCCCTGAGGCAAAAGAGAGAGAAATCATGCTTTGTTTCTAGATGGCAAATCTAATATGTCAGGGAATTGGGATCAGGGCCCACATTCTCTGCCTCTTGGTCCAGTGTATATTCTCTTCCACACAGCAAAATTTTTTTTCCTATCCGAGTAACTAAAAGAATGCCAACAGACTTCTCAGACAGGTTTTCTTTCACAAATACATGGCCTTTCATTCAATATCACATTTCGTGAACATCTGTGCTTTCTGTGATTCACCAAATTTCCTGATATCATAGAGAGACTCACTAGCTTGAATTCTTGCATTGTCTCTGCAAAGTTAAGGGAAAATAAATAACCTGAAATGGCAGTTTTTTCAATGAAACATAGCCAGTTGTGTTCTTTTTTATGCAAGAAATTACAACAAAAGTTGTCCAAAGGGGCAGTGAATAACAGAACAAAGTTGGAATCATAAAAATCCAGGAGAATTTTAGTTCTGCCAATTACTAGTAGTCAAATGATGTAGAGTAATTCTCTGAGCCTTTTTTTAAAATTTGCAAAATGAGAACTTATATAGCCAACTCTTAAGAGTATTTCAAAATCGTAAGTTGGATTACATAGCTATAGCTTGCTACAGTGGCTGGAGAAGACTAAGCTCTCAATAAATGGTAGATGAAATGAGAGCTAATGCCTCTTGTGGGAACCATTGTGTAATTAAAAAGTGAATATCACATAATCAAAGGGCAAGTAAAGGATGAGAGGCTTAACATATCATACTGTCATTTCTGAGGAATTTGGGGGGGTTTCAGGGTCAGCTTATGAATCTGAGAAAGAGGCCTAGATTTTCCTGAGGGAACTAGAGTTACTGATTTACACTTTCCTTTCTTTATGTGTTAATTATTAATTAGTACTATATTGGAGACACAGAGCCAGAATCCCCAGTCCACCTAAGATAATTTTATCACCACAA
Organism: Homo sapiens; assembly: GCF_000001405.40. Taxonomy (NCBI): domain Eukaryota; kingdom Metazoa; phylum Chordata; class Mammalia; order Primates; family Hominidae; genus Homo; species Homo sapiens. The sequence continues at coordinate 117,210,823 of NC_000005.10, read as the reverse complement.
ATTAACCTCTAAACTGTTTAGTCCACACAGAGATCAAGAGATCATCTAGGGTAAGTCTGGCTGTTTTATAGCGACACAGTGTTAACATAGACTTCCACGTCTGTGAGGAAGTAAAATGACCCTCAGAATTAAAAAAACAAAAACAAACAAACAAACAAAAAAACGACTCCACTTCATTTCAAGACATTTTTATCATTTTGAGATTCCAGTGATTACTAATTTTTAAGGCTCCAACACAACAATCTATCCTGTCGTTGCTAATTGTAATTAATCAAAGTATAAGTAAAAACCTAGAATCACTGCCTCTCTTATTCATTATCTAGGAAGTATAGGGATACAGCAGCACATACAACTAGAATGTTAAATTTTCTTATATTACTCAGAATCCAACACTGCGAGATGTATTCACAAATGTATTTCCACAAAATATTGAATGAGTATGTAACATACCAAAAATTGTGCTAAACAGTCTACATATATGTAAATTAATAAGACCCTATCTTTACCATCAAGGAGTTCCTGGCCTAGGGGGTGAAATAGAGACATGGGAGAAAATTTTTGCAAACTATGCATCTGACAAAGGTCTAATATCCAGCATCTACAAGGAACTTAAACAAATTTACAAGAAAAAGACAAATAACTCCATTAAAAAGTGGGCAAATGACACAAAGAGACAATTTTCAAAAGAAGACATACATGTTTCCAACAATTATATGAAAAAGGGCTCAATATCATTGATCATTAGAGAAATGCAAGTCAAAACTACATTGAGATACCATCTCACACCAGTCAGAATGGCTAATAAAAAGTCAAAAAATAACAGAAGCTGGTGAGGTTGAGGAGAAAAAGGAATGCTTATGCACTGTTGGTGGAAGTGTAAATTAATTCAACCATTGTGAAAACCAGTGTGGTGATTCCTCAAAGACCCAAAGACAGAAATACCATTCGACCCAGCAATCTCATTACTTGGTATACACCTAAAGGAATATAAATCATTCTATTACAACAACACATGCACATGTATATTCATTGCAGCCCTATTCACAATAACAAAGACATGGAATAAACCTAAATGCCCGTCAACATTAGACTGAAGAAAATGTGGTACATATATACCATGGAATACTATACAGCCATAAAAAAGAAAGAGGTCATATCCTTTGCAGGAAACATGGATGGAGCTGGAGGCCATTATCCTTGGCAAACTAACACAGGAACAGAAAACAGAGAATACACCCTGTTCTCACTTATAAGTTGAAGCTAAAAAATGAACGCATAGACACACTGAGGAGAACAACACACACTGGGGCCCATTGAAGGGTGGAGGGTAGGAGGAAGAAGAGGATCAGGAAAAACAACCAATGGGTACTAGGCTTAATACCTGGATGATGAAATATCTGTACAACAAAACCCCATGATACATGTTTATCTATGTAGCAAACCTACACATCTATCCCGGAACTTAAATAAAAGTTTTTTTTAAAAGAAGTGATTATAATATAATGCATTTGATATTTTCACAGAAGCAATTCTCTAGCCTAGAAACAATGTGAGACCAGAAAACACCTCTTTATTTCTCCAAAGTTCCACAGAGTGCAACCCATATAGCAGGTGCTCAATAAAAGTTTGTTGGACTAATGCATGCATGCATGAAAAAAATCAATTGCAATCATTGAGGCATTGGTGAAAAAAGTACACAATGGCTCACTACTTCAGGACCACAGACTATGCGTGGTCCCTGAAGTTGTATCTCAGATTAGAGCTCACAGGTTAGTTACTAGATTATCTCTAATAAGTTGCCTTACTGTTGCCTTTCATGGCATTGGCAAAAACACCTTTTCTTCCTCTCCCTCTCTATATGATGAGAGTTCGGTTTGCAACAGCTGGGCAGTAGTGTGTGATCAACAGCTTGGTGAGGTGCATCTTGTTAACTGGTGCCTCATGTCTCAGGAAACTGATTGACAGAGAAATACCTATGGAAAATGAACAAAATCTATTGTATTTAAGAATTGCCCTTTAATGTCAGATAATTTCTCTATATTATAAAAAAATGCATTTTGTCCATATTTAGCAAAACCTACTTTTCCAGCTTGAAGAGAAAATTAGATGGTCATATTTTCATACTGAGAGGCAGATAGCAAAAGGAAGATCCAACTGGAGACACTGTCCTTTTTACCAGTTATGTTACTGGTGACATAGAAAGATCCATGTATATAATTTGAATGAAAGATTGAATAACTAAATGAATGAGGAATGAATGAATGAATGAACTCTAACTTGGCATGAGAGGAGAGTCTCACATAGAAGGCCAGTTTTACATTGTACATGAGAAAATCTTAATTCCTGAGACCACCAGTCTAAAATAATAGCAGATTCTTTCCCCATGTCTTGTAATTTTCTGTCTTAAAGAAATTAGGCATAAAACCACAATTAATAGATACATTTCTGTTCAAAGGGGTCACCTGCTGAATTTCTTGACAGCAGAGGAGCCTGAAGCCAACTTTGATTTTCAAGCCCAGTGGCAAATATGAGTAAATTTGCCATGCGGTTCTGTCCATTTTTGTCCCAGATGAAACAAATTATACCTACTCTAGTTACATCAGATAGAGATGTCATTATTCTTAACCCAGGCTGCACAGAATAATCACCAAGTAAAGTTTTTAAAAATTGCTATTATAAGCTCCATCCCAGACCAATTAAATTAGATTCTCATGGGATAGGACCTAGCCACGTGCATTTTTAAAATGTTTCCCAGGGGCTTCTAATCTGTGGTCTGGACTAAAAAATACTGAATAAACTCATTTATACCTCCTGGCCAGCCAGGATGCAGGTGCTAACCAATGCTTCCCAAACTTCAAGGTGCACACAGGTCACGCAGGGACCTTGCAAAAATGCTGATTCTGATTTAGTAGGTCTAGGGTAGGGCCTGAGATTCTGTCTTGCCAAGAAACTCCAGATGAGGCTATGATGTTGCTGAGCCATATACTACGCTGCAAGTAGCAAGGTGCTAAATCACTCATGAATGGGGACCTCCTACAAGTATTTGAGGAAGAAATGAGTTTTCACACTGCTGATAAAGACATACCTGAGACTGGGCAATTTACAAACAAAAGCAGTTTATTGGACTTACAGCTTCAGGTGGCTGGTGAGGCCTCACAATCATGGCAGAAGATGAAAGGCACGTCTCACTGGCGGCAGACAAGATAAGAAGAGCTTGTGCAGGAAAACTCCCTTTTTAAAACCACCATATCTCGTGAGACTCATTCACTATCACGAGAACAGCACAGGGAAGACCCGCTCCCATAATTCGGCCACCTCCCACCAGGTTCCTCCCACGACATGTGGGAATTGTGGGAGTTACAATTCAAGATGAGATTTGGGTAGACACACACCTGAAGCGTATCTAGATGGATCTCTGGAGAGACAACCTCCCCAGGGGTCACATGCATCAGGCACACACTCAGATCCTGCATAAACATTTTTGCTGTTGAATAATGAAAGACTTAGAAATTGGTGAATGACCACAGCTGTGAGCATCCCAACCAGCTAGCCTGGGCCATCTCCCAGGAAGCCACACAGGCCACAATCAATTCAGCAATTCAAGTGTTAATGTCTGCCACATCAGGGAACCTCTGAGACTCTGCCTCAGCCCTAATGACTTATTTTTTTATTCTGATTGGTCAGTCTTTGCCGAATTGGCTATTAAATCTTTTAAAAATCACTCTTGAGCACCATACGAAGCTATGACCCCTGGAGGGTCAGACCTAGAAAACTGTCTGATTGCTGTCTTGAGGTTGTGTTATGTTGAAAGATAATATATTTAATTACTAATGTAGGTGATTTTGATGAATAAAAAAATGAGATCAGCGAAGTCTCATGATAATAGACAAATTAGGTAAAAAGACAAGGGTTAAGGAAAAAATTTGATCTAACAAAAATGATAAAATAATAATGATTTAATATGCAAGTTCACCAGAAACAGGCAGATTAAATGAGAGGAAACTCTTGGATTAATAAAAAAAAAAAAAAAAAAAAAAAAAAAACTAGAGACTCTGTGAACCTGAAAATAATTAGAAATTTGCACTACTGTCATCAACAGAAATCACAGGCCTAGCTAAAAAAAGACAGTTTATCTGTAACAAGTAATTGCAATGTATCATATGTATTATAATAATCAGTTACTATAAATTAAAGTGGAATATTCAGTTTTAAAAACATATTTTAGGTTGATATTTATTCATGTGTAATTATTTATTTTAAAATCAATTTTCCAGATTAGTATTTTAACTATGTCTCTAAATGTGTAAAGAATTTTAAGAAAAACTAGAAGAAATTTTAGATTTTTACCTTCTGCATATTTCTCCCAAAATAGTCTAACCTAGAAACAAAACAATAACAATAATGAGAAAAAGCAAAACCAACTGAAGATGTATGTCTTGAGTTCTTATAAGACACATCTGAGAAAAAAAATTCGGAGAGTCCTTGTCAACTCCACAACACCTGTTGAATAGAATAAAGCAGGATAGGCTCTCTGTCCTAATGCTACAGTATTTTTATTAGTTTTACCTCTCTAATGTACCTAATTGGGGCCACTGAATCGTTTTAAAGTATTTCATGAACACTGTATGCTTTTAAAGCATCTTTCTTAAAATATATCCATTAGAGTTGTAAAGTGCATTTCCATCAGTCTCCTTATACTTCTAGATGTATAGGTTTAACAAGCTGTTGTCATCCACTATGCCATTACTCTGACTGATCTTTGTTTTACTTTCATTTACCTCAATTTGTACTCTGCCTTGAATTTTTTTTATGTACAACAGAATTACTAATGTGATTTCTGACTTCATCTTTTCCTTTTCCTGTGGATCTAAATCAAATACTGTGTCATTTTTAATGTACTTAACAAACGAGGTTTTGAAGCTCAGAAACACGTATGGCTAATTATCTGCAACCAAAAAACTACTTTCCACGTTTTTCTCTCTTTCCTGCAACGGGCATCCCCCCTTGCTAGCACGTCTAATATCAGGACCTTAAAATCCTCCCACCATATGTCAAAGATATTTGATCTTTTTCTGTCTAAGCCTGTGGTGGGCTTACAGTTCACACTGTCTGCTATGTCTGATTCCTCCTCAGGGGAGTCTGATTTCACATTCTAACTGCTCTAAATAGGCTTTAGAAATACTTTCTTCTTGTTTCTTCTTGCTAGACTAAGAAAAGAACAAGCACGAAGAATGAAAAGAAATAAACACGCAGTGGCCCTACACTAAAAGGCACAGACCTCTCCCTGGTCAGCTCAGTTATCTGACTGTCTACAGCTCTTCTACCCACGTCCTTCCGTTGTGTGATAACCAATCATGAATACAAGCAGAGATACAGATTAGGCTTGCCAAACGTGGACAGATGGGACCAGTCAGGACACAGAGGCAGGTATTTCCAGCCCTCTGCTTATTGCACACAGAAATTTATTGGAAGCCTAAAAAGTGGAGTTTTCTTAGCAAACCTAATAAGAAAATGTTTTTAAGAGTGCAATACAGAATACAAAACAGATTCCCTAGGTTTTTTAAATAATGTATTCAGATTCAAGAGAAACATCCCGCAACTTGAAGCTCTTGAACATGACAGCAGCTTCCATTTTTCTCTTCATTTGTTCCTAACTGTTCTCTCCTCTTGGTGGGACTGGCAGGTGGTGCCTCTCCTACTGCTACTTGCAATGAATGACCCTGTGATGGCAGATGATCTTTGTGGATTCTGGCGTGAAGGGTTTTTTGGTTCTGTTTTTAACCCTAGCAGAGGCTAATTTAATCACATATCCCCATCTTCAAATTGCAGACAACTGGGACTTCCAGTAAATAACTTTTTTTTTTCATTGGGAGGCCCAACTGCCTCCCTGTGCAAATTTTGAAAGCTATATTTTAATCCCCAAGAAAGAGAAACACACTGACCAAAGCAGTATTCAGGGTAGCACAGAGATGTGTAAGAAAAAGCCTCTGTTCAAGATGTGCTTTCTACTGAGATGGGAACAAAATCATATGAGAGATACTAAAGAAAATAGTCGGGTCTTAAGGAAACTCAGCATAGTATGATTATGTTGGCAGAAGACTAGATAGGCTGGGCAGACCTGCAGTCAGTGAAGTTTTTGAAGGCAGTGGTGTATGCACCCTTCGTCATATTTCTACCCCCCCCCTCCCCCTTCGCCAGCCACTCCTCTAAGTTTCACGTTTTGGCACTGACTCTCTGTCAGGTGCCACATACATCACCCAGCCTGTTTACAGAGAACAAGCTTCTGTTGTTCTACCAGAAAGGAAAGGACAATCAAAAGGCAAGTTTAAAATCAATCACACTCAAAGAATATTTGCATTACTTATTTTTGACCAGTATCTTAGAATTTATACCCATTTTAATTAAATAACCTTTTTTTCCACAATAAGCAAGAATAAATGAAAGACTAACTCTGAATCTATGGCAGAGCTCACCTGCCTATTCATCCGCATTGCGGTCTCTTGGGAGGAGTATGTAACGAGAACAGCATTAGGACCCAGCATTTCCCACCTTAATTGGTGCTTAACCTTGTATATTTGCTCAAATTATTTCTGTTGGGAAAGTGATGGCCTTCAGACAGGATTTGTGCGATGCCCTTGTAAATGGGGGCCAAAACATGACTTGTAAAAATGTTGCTGGAACATAAGAAATGGGTTATAAAAGCATAGGGAAAGAGAGAGAAACAGAAAAGTGGTAGAAAACGCCTATGTATTCTCTGCCACCCATATAGAGAGAAGGAACAAACCTTTCCACAGACTTTCCCAAAAGACAAACACACACTTTAAGGAGAATACATTTGCACCACTATAGTAGCACTTTTGTGTAATATATTTTTACCTTATGCCTCACTTTGGTGGGTCGGGGATGGGTAGTGGTAATGAAGGGAACTCTGGTGGGGAGAGGTAGCACCTTATCATATATACTTCAAGATTCCCAGTTTCCATGACAGTTCCTGAACATTAAAAAGCAATAAATTTGGCATTTGTCACGTGACATGGCATTCTGAAAGTCTATAGGGAGAGATTGGGGGCTGTCCCATAACTGGACCTTTCAGGTTCCTTTGATAGTTTTAGCTCTTATTGTCTATTAACCAGTTGAATCTGGTATGCACTATATTCTTAAACTGTGAATAACATAATGAAAACACTGGGATATCTACCTGCTGCTCTAGTTTGCTAGAAAATATAGTTGAACTCTGAGAATGCAAGGGTAGAACCAAGTCATTTCAACCAATAGTCACTTAGTCACTTAGTCACTTTGCGTAGCCTCTTGGAAAACTTTGGTCTTTCTCTTGGTGATCATTCCTTGTGAATGACTGGCAGAGCGCAAATATTCTCTCTCTCTCTCTCTTTTTTTTTTTTTTTTTTTGAGATGGAGTCTTGCTCTCTCACCCAGGCTAGAGTGCACTGGCGCAATCTCAGCTCACCGCAACCTCCACCTCTCGGTTTCAAGCGATTCTCCTGCCTCAGCCTCCCGAGTAGCTGGGATCATAGGCGTGTGCCACCACGCCCAGCTACTTTTTTATTTTTAATTTTTTGTATTTTTATTAGAGAGAGGGTTTCACCATGTTGGCCAGGCTGGTCTCGAACTCCTGACCTCAGGTGATCCACCTGCCTCAGCCTCCCAGGGTGCTGGGGTTACAGATAGGAGACACCGAGCCTGGCCACATTCTTAGATTCGTGTTTTTTGTTCTTTTATTTTTCCTGTGCTTTCTTAATTGTAGTCTAACATGGAAAGTCCAAACAATGCAGAGATACATAGAGCAAGAGTCAAACTAAAATACCTTTAGGGGTGAACTAGGCCACATAAATGTGGGAAGCAAACCAGCTGGCAGGGATATGGGCTCGCTCTGTCGCCCAGGCTGGAGTGCAGTGGTGCGATCTTGGCTCACTGCAAACTCCGCCTCCCGGGTTCACGCCATGCTCCTGCCTCAGCTTCCCGAGTAGCGGGGACTACAGGCACCCGCTACCATGCCCGGCTAATTTTTTGTATTTTTCGTAGAGACGGGGTTTCACCGTGTTAGCCAGGAAGGTCTCCACCTCCTGACCTCGTGATCCGCCCGCCTTGGCCTCCCAACGTGCTGGGATTACAGGCGTGAGCCACTGGGCCCGACCATGTCTGGAATTTTAATTCAAAAAGCTAAACAACAACAACAACACGTCAGCCTAAAGTACATCTAAGACTTCACAGACTGCCAGTTTCAGCAAGGAAATGAGGGTCTCCTTCACCTTCCTGCCCACTTAAAAGTATTTCATTACATTATTCACTCGCTTTCATGAGTATGTTCATGTGTTGTGTGTGTCTATGCTTATGTCTGTATTTGCTTAGGTAGTATCGCCACTTAAAAGACATTAGGCATTAAACACCAAGAGTGGACAGCATAGCAAAGTGTATCCATGTGGTCAATGCATGCTGCCTCGGATGCCTTGACGGAGAGAGAATAGACTGAATAAGATTTGTGTAGGCTCACAACATTCACAATGACTCTGCATTAAAAATGGGAATACATAGGAACTAGAGCCTAAGCAGAAGTACAAAAGATGAGATAGGTGCACCCCAGGCAGCGGGAAACTGTTGGGGAAGATGGCTCAGATTCTGACATAAGCAGCACTGGAAGAGAGAAATTCAGGTAGTTAGGTCAGTGAAAAGGAGCTGACTCCATTTGTAAAATAAAAAAATCTAAATAGCACAGAGGTCCATAAGATGAGAGAGCATCACTGATATCTTTTTCAGGACAGCACATCAAAGTAAAGAGGAGAAAGGAAAACAAGTTCTGATATTAAATGAAGAAAACAGAATTGAACTTTTGAGCAAAAAATAAAATTGGAAGCTTTAAAAGTAGAGGCTTTAAGAAAAGAAGTAAATCCTAAGGCAACACCAACTATTCTACAACTGAAGAGCTTGTGGTTTCAGACAATCTTAGATACTCTTTAAATCATACCCCTTATGAATATTCAGATATATATGTTCTTCAACCCAGTATAAAAATGTTGGATCTTTTTATTTCTGCAGTAAGCTCTTTTTCCCTGTCTCCCTCCCTGTCTTCCCCAAAGAAATGTATGCTAATCTCAATTTATAAAAAGAGTTAACAGGTCCCTCAGTATGTTGGCTATGAAGTCACAAACTGAATAGAGATCTTCCTAGTTGCATCTTATCAGAGGAAAATAAAACAGAAAGATCTGACTCTGTTTCCTGTGCTGAGAAAATTTATTTAGCTCTCTTAAATGTTACGCTCACTGAAATCCTCAAACTTGAGCTTTGTTCTTCCTATGGGTATGAGGTTAAAAAAATATCTTATTTCATTTTTGTCCACACATTCACAAAGTTCGTCTGTCAAGAGCTCTCTGGAAGCAAAGTCTTGAGAAGGTTTTGTCTCTGGTCCCTACTACACAAGGCAGTGTCTAGTGCATTTTACAGCTCAGGTTAATCTGTAATTTAGTCTAAAGCTGTTCTGGAACTTCACAGGTTGGGGTGCCTTTCAAGTGATTCATGAATCCATGTTTAAACCATAAACTTTAAATGTTGTACATCTGCATTCTAATCTAAAGCAACCTTAAATACAGCAGCTGGCAGCAGGCTGTAGCTCACATTGCCTGCCAAGGAATCCAGTCATTGGTGTGTTCACAGCCATGGAATTATTACGGCTGTAACAACTGAATTCATGTTAGTTCTTAACTTCAAGCTGATTGGTTTACTTGGCTGCACTTGTGTTTATTTCTTTCATAGCTTTTGTTATATTTATTTGAGAGCCACTTATTTGGCATTTTCTCCAAGGAACAGACAAGTACACATACATAATTTCACGGGCTCACTTTGACTTTCTGTATAGCATCAATACACAAGGAAAAGTGCATGTGGGTAGTTTTCAGAGCTGTGATATGTCACCTAAGGACAGGAAACTAAGTTAGAGTAATCACTCAGCTCTAACATGCCTCGTTCTACTTAGGCGTTGAAGAATAATATACTAGATGTTTTGGTCCTCACAACTCTCTACCTTTCTTTCTCATTACCTTATAATCAGGTAACCATGGTTAACTAGATTTCATGTTTTCCTATTAGATAAAACATCTATAAGATGTTTATAAGGAGATAAGGAGAACGTCTTCTGTTCTCCTTTCTACCACCATTTCCTCTTGTTACACAAATAGCTCTGTCTCTGCGCTGTTGTTTCTCCAACCTATCCCACACACTTCTGTCAAATTAATTTGCCTACACTCTGCTTTAAAATCCTGTGCTTAAAAATTTTCATGGGGTCCTGACTTGCAACAAGAGAAGGACCCTACACAAACCTTCTGATACAACTGAACAGTCGACTTACTCTTCCTAAACACTGTAGTCATACCCTGATTCTAAGTCCTCACTCACTTTCTCATCTTTTTTTTTTTTTTTTTCAAAATAAATTCAGACTTCCTTTTCAGGACAATTTTAAGTCATCTTGTTCTGCAAAGGCTTCCCTGTCACCCAAGGTCCTCAGAGATAAGTATATGAGCTAAGAGCCAGAGTTCCTGTTCATGCTCAACAATGTGATCTAAACACATTATAAACATTATCTCAAATAATTCTCACAAAACACCGACAAGGAAAGCATTATCAGTCATCCTACTATGCAAGATGAGAAGACAGAGTCATCTGTATAATTAAGTCACTTGCCCACTGTTGCACGGCTAGTCAATGGTAGAGCCAGTGTTTAAATGCTAATCACATCATTGTTGCATCTCCTCCTTGAGACTTCTTTTGAGATGCCCCTGTTTCATTAATTTGGCTAGCTTGCTTTTGCTTGCATATAATTTTCATCGCCCATTAGGAGACATAGCCCGCTAAAAGCAGATGCTCTTGTCCACTGCCTTATGTGTTAGAGGTGTGGAATAGTTCACTGGACTCTCCGTCAAATATTTCTGGTTTTCTTCAGCAGATAAGATGATGGTACCTAACAGCTCTCTTGTGTTTTGGCATGACTGTATGCCAGCCGTGGTTAGTGAAATGTGAGGAGAAATGATTTTGTTTCCAGGTGGATGCTTTAAGAGTCACAGTGCAATTCACTGTCTCTTAGTCCCTCAGCTGTGGCTTTCCAATAAGATCCCAATAGATGCCATTCTAAGAGCCTGGGTCCCAGAGTGAAGCCCACATGGAGTAGAGTACCTAGTAGACCTGTGCTGGGCCTGGGAGAAAACCAAACCTTTGCAATTTTATCACTAATTTTTGTTTTCTGCATAACAACTAGCCAGTCTAACTATCAACAGTGCATCTGTGAAGAGTTGTGACAGGAACTCATGTGAAAGCAGAAACCAGAACTCACCAATTACATTTAAAACATCCAGAAAATATCTGCAAGAAAGGTGTTAAAGCAAAGAAGCTTTTCACCCGGGAGAATCTGATCCATAAGGATTTTCATTTCAATTGTGGTCACAGTCGGGTGCTGGAACATAAAAGGAGATTCTAGAAAATCTGGTTTTGATTTCAAACTCTTTTCATGGATCACAATTCTCCTGTTTAAAGAACCTATCACTTTTCTATTTTCTCTTCGTCTAAATGGCTATTCTACAGTCCACTCTTACCCTCATGCCTTTTTCCTTTGATGTATTTTTACTCCAGTTTGTTTATTTATTTATTTATTTATTATACTTTAAGTTCTGGGATACATGTGTACAACGTTCAGGTTTGTTACATAGGTATACATGTGCCATGATGGTTTGCTGCACGCATCAACCCATCATCTACATTAGGTATTTCTCCTAATGCTATCCCTCCCCTTGACCCCACCCCCTGACAGGCCCCAGTGTGTGATGTTCCCCTCCCTGTGCCCATATGTTCTCATTGTTCAGCTCCCACTTATAAGTGAGCATATGTGGTGTTTGGTTTTCTGTTCCTGTATTAGTTTGCTGAGAATGATGGTTTCCCGCTTCATCCATGTCCCTGCAAAAGACATGAACTCATTCTTTTTACGGCTGCATAGTATTCCATGGTGTATATATGCCATATTTTCTTTATCCAGTCTAACACTGATGGGCATTTGGGTTGGTTCCAAGTCTTTGCTATTGTAAATAGTGCTGCAATAAACATATGTGCGTATGTGTCTTTATAGCAGAATGATTTATAATCTTTGGGTATATACCCAGTAATGGGATTGCTGGGTCAAATTGTATTCCTAGTTCAAGATCCTTGAGGAATTGCCACACTGTCTTCCACAATGATTGAACTAATTTACACTCCCACCAACAGTGTAAAAGTGTTCCTATTTCTCCACATCCTTTCCACCATCTGTTGTTTCCTGACTTTTTAATGATCACCATTCTAACAGGCATGAGATGATATCTCATTGTGGTTTTGATTTGTATTTCCCTAATGACCCGTGACGATGAGTTTTTTTTCATGTCTGTTGGCCACATAAATGTCTTCTTCTGAGAAGTGTCTGTTCATATCCTTTGCCCACTTTTTGAGGGGTTGTTTGATTTTTTTCTTGTAAATTTGTTTAAGTTCTTTGTAGATTCTGGATATTAGCCCTTTCTCAGATGGGTAGATTGCAAAATTTTTCTCCCATTATGTAGGTTGCCTGTTCACTCTGATGATAGTTTATTTTGCTGTGCAGAAGCTCTTTAGTTTAATTGATCCCATTTGTCTATTTTGGCTTTTGTTGCAATTGCTTTTGGTGTTTTAGTCATGAAGTCTTTGCCCATGCCTATGTCCTGAATGGTACTGCCTAGGTTTTCTTCTAGGGTTTTTATGGTTTTAGGTCTTACATTTAAATCTTTAATCCATCTTGAGTTAATTTTTGTATAAGGTGTAAGGAAGGGATCCAGTTTCAGTTTTCTGCATATGGCTAGCCTGTTTTCACAACACCATTTATTAATCAAGGAATCCTTTCCCCACTGCCTGTTTTTGTCAGGTTTGTCAAAGATCAGATGGTTGTAGATGTGTGGTGTTATTTCTGAGGGCTCTGTTCTGTTCCATTGGTGTGTCTCTCTGTTTCGGTACCAGTATCATGCTGTTTTGGTTACTGTAACCTTGTAGTATAGTTTGAAGTGAGGTTGCGTGATGTCTGCAGCTTTGTTCTTTTTGCTTAGGATTGTCTTGGCTATACAGGGATGTGAAAGACCTCTTTAAGGAGAACTACAAACCACTGCTCAAGAAATAAGAGAGGACACAAACAAATGGAAAAACATTCCATGTTCATGGATAAGAAGAATCAATATTGTGAAAATGGCCATACTGCCCAAAGTAATTTATAGATTGATTGCTATTCCCATCAAGCTACCATTGACTTTCTTCACAGAATTAGAAAAAAACTACTTTAAATTCCATATGGTACTCTTCAGTTTTTAAGAGTCTCCAAGTATGTATAATAAACTTCCCATTACAGAGACCATATCCAGAGCATCCTTCTCTATATATCACAGTTCAATTTCCACTCTCTCCAGCTGTAAATAAAGAAAGAAAAAAGAAAGAAAGAAGAAAAGTATATGATACTCAGCCCCAGTTTTAAAAAGGGGAGTGGGATGCTCTGGGTAATGAAATTTTCTCATTTATGGATGGAGATGATTGGCTCTTATTTCACCTGTAGGATGAATATATGTTGTTTTACTTCCCTTCTTTAGCTTTGAGATTATAATGTAATCGTTGCTTTTATATTTGATCAAAGGTCTCCAGATCACCATTCTATACATCATTGAATATTGTATAGTAGTATAGCTAGAGCTGAAAATAATGTAGAAAATTATGTGAATATGTATTTATTCTGTGACATTCCTGGAAGAGTAAACATTAAATCTCAGACATTAAATTTTGTTTGTAACTTACAGATTAGAATGCGTATAGCATCCATAATAAAATATATAATTACAGGAGAGTGAATTTTAAAATTTCTAGTTAAGTGTAGCTATCTTGTATTAAAGTTGAGATAGGAATTCCCTAAAGAAAATATTCAGAGTATTTATAGAACTAGTCCTAATAATGACTTACAAGGTTTTATCTAAAGGCAATGTGTATGCTAATTAGGCATTTAAGAAAATCAGACAAATTTATTTCAAAATTAGATCATTGCAGGTGTCCAATGTATGGATGAGTAGTGAGGAAGAGAAGTGGGGAACCAGGAGAGATTCCTGTAGGAAAACGATAAATGACATTGAAAGTGTACTCTAGAGGGGTGGTCCCCAACCCCCACAACCCCAGTCCCCACAACCCCTCGCCTGCAGGTGCATTAGATTTTCATAGGAGCATGATTCCTATTGTGAATTGTGCTTGTGAGGGATCTGGGTTGCATGTTCCTTATGAGAATCTAATGCCTGATGACCTGTCACTGTCTCCCATCACCCCCAGATGGGAGCTTCTAGTTGCAGGAAAACAAGCTCAGGGCTCCTAATGATTCTACATTATAATGAGTTGTATAATGATTTCATTGTACATTACAATGTAATAATAATAAAGTGCACAATAAATTTAATGAGCTTGAATCATCCCAAAACCATCCCCCAACCCCTACCCCAGTCCCTGGAAAAAATGTCTTCCATGAGACCTGTCCCTGGTGCCAGAAAGGTTGGGGACCACTGCTCTATAGGCAAGAATATGAGTGCTTTGTTCTTTCTATTGCCAAGACCCACAGCTGATTTGAAACCTTCTGAGCTAAGGGTCATCACAGACTAGAAACCGTTGCACTTGCTACTAACCAATTTAATTTGGACTATCTCAGCCAGCCTTATTGAATTATCTCCAAGCCCCCAGAGGCAAAAAGGTACTCCTGTACTTAACTGTTCAATAAGGTTTACTTTCAGGCCTCAGTGGTGCAGCTTGGTTGTACATTCAGCATCATCTAGTTTAAACATATTGAGCAATCAATTTAAACTTGTTATTGTCATTGGGGTTTGAAAGTTTAATAAGCAATTACCTGAACACATTCCTTTATGTTTTTAATTTCTACTGAGATGTTGTTCCATTTTCAGGCCTAAAGCAATCATGCCCTCCAGAATGTTTAATTGAATGAGTCCATAATGCAAGCCTTTTTCTTAACTGTATTTTCCTAGTGTGATTTATGAAGCTGAATGAAGTAGTGTCTTCATAAAAAGGGAGCCAAGAGTAAGTGAAAATTTCAAAGATCTGACATAGATAGAAGAGAACAATCTTTTTTTATGTAAAGGAAGCTAGCTGACCTATTGTCTTCTTCATACAGTAGTGCCTTTCCTATAGGGTAAATCTAAAATGCTCTACTCTCCTCGTATTCCAAAGCAATGCTGTAGAATTGTATACATGTTGTTTTTTATCCTGCCACATGAAGTGAAGTGGTGGTCTTTCATTTATAAAAGTATTTGTTTCCTAAAATATAACTCTGAAAATGAAGTAGATAGTTTATCTAATAATTGTTTTTTCTCTTGTTTTGTATCTAAAACAGGGGTCAGCAAACTTTTTCTGTAAAGGGCCAGATGGTAAATATTTTAGGATTTGCAACCATATGGTCCTTGTCTCAACTACTCAACTCTGCAGTTTTAGTGTGAAAGCAACCATAGATGATACATAAATGAATGGGTATGGCTCACTTCCAATAAAACTGTATTTACAAATCAGGCAGCAGGCTAGATTTAGCTCACTGGCCATAGTTTGCTAACCTCTGGCCTAGAATATTTAATAGAAAGAATATTTGTGTGTGTGTGTGTGTGTGTGTGTGTGTGTTTTGTTTGTTTGGTTGGTTGGTTGGGGTTTTGTCATTATTGTTAGTTTGCTTATTTGTTTGCTTTGCCAAAAACATAAAGTTCTTTCCAGGCTTCCTTAGTAGGTTTTCTTTCATCTGCCCCATAAATGCTGATATTTCGAAGGATTTTTTTCTTTGATTTGCTTTTGTTAGGTGTGATACATTTTTAAGCCATCCCCATGACTTCACTTATCATTTAAAAAATGATGTCTCTCAAATGTGACCTTCAGTCCATATCTTTCTTAAAAATGCCAGTGCACCACACCTGTGTATCTTCTACCAGGAGCCCATCTATAGACATATTAAAGATACATCAATCTATGTCCAAATCAGAACATGTTTTCTTTCCTCGCAGTTTGCCATATAGCCTACTTAGCTATAGGAATATAACTACTCCCTGAAGTACTCTAATGCTTTCTTTTCCTTCCAATCCCATATCAACTTTTCCTGGTTTCATCTAACTGCTGTAAACTGTAGCTTCCTCTCCATCTCCACTGTCTCTGCCAAAAATTTTTGTCTCCTTCCTGAAATATTGTAAGAATATATTCATGGATCCCCCATTCTCCAGTATTTTTCCTTTTCAAAAGCACATCACATTGCTGTTGCTTATTTCTCTAAAATGTCATTTTTTGACTAAAGAACTACAATTATTTCTTTTCCCTACAAAAAGATCAACATAGAATAAAAAGCCTTTTGAACACCAATCTATCTACCCTGCCTTGCTTCCCTTCACCTCTACTTAGTGCTACCCCACCTGCCATGGGATTTCATGCAGAAGTCATACTGGATAATACCTCTCCTTTCCCACAGAGACCAATGTTACTGGACATTTTTGCACACTAGATTACATCCTTTCCATGTTCCACATACTATGTCAGATTCTGAGGATATAAATATGAAAAAGACAAAAAGTTACAAGTTTACAGTATAGCTGGGACAACCAAATCAAACACATAATGGTAATGTAAAGAGATAATATGAGAAGGAGCACAGTATAGTGGTTTAAACATGGACCATGGCATGGCATTATCTGAATTCGCATTCCATCGTCCCACCTGGCTGAAGGACATTTAGCTGGTTACTTAGTGTCTTAGTCCATTTGGGCTGCTATAACAAAATGCCGTAGACTGGCTAATTGATAAACAATAGAAATGTATTTCTCACAGTTCAGGACGCTGAGAAATATAAGATCAAAGTGCCAGCAGATTTGGTGTCGAGTGAGGGATTGCTCTCTGCATTAAAGATGGTGCCTCCTAGCTATGTCCTCACATGATGGAAGAGCAAACAGGGATCTCTGAGGACTCTTATAAAGGCACTAATTCCGTTCTTAGAGTGGAGCGCCCATGACCTAATCACCTTCCAAAGGCACCACCTTTTGCTACCATCACCCTGGTGATTAGGTTTCAACATAAGAATTTGGAGGGATACAAATATTCAAGACCTAGAATCTGGCCTCTCTGTGTTTTAGTAAAAGATAACTCATCAACAAAATAATGGTATAAAGAGCCTATCTTAGAGGATTATTGCAATGATTAAATGAGTAAATAGTTTGTAAATTTCTTAGAACAGTGTCTAGCGTAGGAAGCAGTATAAAATATAGACAGATAAATAAGATATGGGTATATATAAATTATATAAAATTTTACAAAATATATATATATTACATATACCCATAAATACATATATACTGTTGTATTAGGCCTTTCTTGCATTGCTATAAATACCTGAGGCTGGATAATTTATAAAGAAGAGAGGTTTAATTGGCTCACAGTTCTGCAAGCATTACAGGAAGCATGGTGCTAACATCTGCTTGGCTTCTGGTGAAGCCTCAGGGAGCTTTCATTCATGGCAGAAGGTAAAGGGAGAGCAGGCAGCTTACACGACAAAAGCAAGAGCAAATAAGAGAGTGGGGGACAGAGGTGCCACACACTTCTGAACAACCACACCTCATGAGAACTTCCTATCAGGAAGACAGCACCAAGCCATGAGGGATCAGCTCCCATGACCCAAATATCTCCCACCAGGCCCAGCCTCCAGCACTGGGGACTATAATTCAATATGAGATTTGGGTGGGGACAAATATCCAAACAATATCAACTGTATATATGTGTGTATATGTATATAAATAAGTATTATTATTAGTTAGTCATCAATAGGAAAACTGGTGAGGAAGGCAATAATTATACATAAAGAGTGAGGAAAAGTTGAAGAAAAAAGAAGGCATTTCCATGGAACTTGGAAAATGAGGTGACAATTAAGAAGCAGAACCAGGCTTTAAACCCAAGTCAGTCTGTTTTCAAAGCACGTTTTATGCTAGTGTTCTAAGAATCATGTTTCTATTAGTCTTTTATCACAGAATTTTTATATAAAAGGTCCTTTGCAATGTTCTTTGGTTTCTACATAAAATCTAGCTTTAAATGACCACGGGAGTTCATGATCATGAATCTCTGGGCCTTTCTTTATGTCAATTACCTTTCCCTTCATGTCATTTTTATATCTGGAAGCAACTGTGATAGAGAGGAAAGGAGGTTTTAATCAGAAGCTTTAAGTTGCAAGTCCAGGTTTCTCTATGACATGGGGCAAGTTACTTTAACTCTGGCTGAGATTTTTTCACATACATAAAATGGAGGTTGGGGTACTTTACTCACAGCACACAGGAGAGGACTAAAGCAGTCACTGCCTGGAAAAACACCTGTAAACTTCAGAGAATTATGTACACAGAGAATTATGTACACAGATAACAACAGATAGTGTTGTTACAGGTCTCCAAATTCTGCCTGTCTTTTCAGACCCAGCTCAAGCTCAGTAACTTCTACAAAACTTTCCTTCCCATTCAAAATCAGTGATCACCTGTTATTATAAATTTAAATCACTATTTGTACCACTGAGGTGGTTCTTGATTATGAGACTCTTTTTTTTTATCGTATCACTGTGTCATTCTTTAATAGTTAATATGCATGTAATTTATTTACCCAAGTGGACCCAAAACCTCTGGTTGATATATATTATACTATACAGTGTATATATGGGGAACACCACTATTTCAAAGACTATGCTAAACACATAGTGGGGTTAATAGATATTGATTGATAAAAAATAAAAAGATAAATTAGGAAAAGGGAAAGTAGAACCAAATGTAATCTTAGAACAAGTAATGGAACACATATATTGTGCCAAAATAATTTTGAATATACCTTCATTATTACAATATCTGTAACAAACTAAATGTCTTTCCTGCTTATAGAAACCATTAGCCACTAGGTCAACTCTGAAATAAAAGCTGGATGAGCACCTACTGGGTGCTAGGGCTGAGGCTTTCAGGAGAGAATGAGACAATAGGCTGTTTCCTTCATGGAAAATGAAATGCCTGAGATGACCTCAGCCTCAACCCAAAGCACACCTTTTGTATTAAATTTGCTCTTTATCAGCAAGACTGAGGATCTAGAAGTCTAACGAAGTGTATAACACACAGTAGGCACTTGGTTAATGAAGGTACTCAGCACATGTTGAAAGAGGGAAATTAGAAATTAGAGGACAATATAATAATCTTAGGATATGGAGACTGAAGTGGAGTTGGGTAGGAAACTAAACTTAAGCAATATCCTCTTAAAGAGTATGACTCAGAGAAAAAAAGTGACATAGAAAAGACAGGAAAATCAAAAGTGCAGAGCTAGGCAAGACTTTTCCAGCAAGAATTCTCAGCAAATGTTTTCCATGTATTTTCACGGCATTTATCAAGTTGTATTTAAATACTATGATTATACATTCAAACGTTAACTATGCACACCCTCTCCCTCAAATGCTTCCTTATAAATCCAAGTCTTATTCTCACACTAGTATTTTGATAAAGTAGGAATTTTTATTTTTCTTCCCTTGATGCACTCTAATTTTAAAGAAAGTAGAAATCACATGTCTGACATACATACAGACACATAAATATGCTATGTCTTTAGAAGAAAAGAAGGAAAATGAACATTTATTTAGTCTATTTGTGAACTTAGTATGTACACTTTCTATTGGAATAGACAATACATAGCTGCTGAAAGGTGACTGAGGTTTCAGTGATTTTCAAGTAGTGGTATTTTATTAGCCCTCAGAATGACAATAGTACTTAAATATACAGAGTTTTCAAAAGCCCAGAACTTTTTGTATATTAAAAAACAAAACAAAAAAAACGAGCCCTGTACTCAACTTACTTTTAAAATATGGACTAAAATACTCCAAACCTAAAATGAACTGAGCTCATCTTTTGCCTTTTAATCATTTGAGACAGCATATTAATCCTGATTAAGTTGAACATTATACATCATCAGTATTCATTTTCTATAAGCAATACTAGTATAAATGCTTCACAGTCTAAAGAAATTCAATTTTATTGCTTCATTTTGGGATGATGATAAAAAATGGGTGAAAGAGGTGATCATCACAACTCAAAGTGGTACACGACATTCCTTATACAAACAGGCTTTATTCACTTGCCTTCTTATAATTTTAAAGCAACTTCAATAAACTGTGTCTATGCAAATGCAGGGAGAATCCTAAAGGGAAAGTTTCATGTTGATGTATGCCAGATACAGTAATTCTTTATTTTGCACATATTCTCTCTCTCCCTCTCCCTCTCCCTCTCTCTCTCTCTAAGTGTGCTGGAACAACCTAGGAACAGAAAATTATGGTCTTTCTTAGACTTCAAAAGTTAAAAAAATGCAATGAATCATCTTGAATAAAATTTTAAATATTAGCCCTTCTACTAAGTTTTGTAGAAGTTTAAATCTAAAGTGCATGTTGAGTTAAAAGGCAAATGTAATATTCACTGACTGATTGCAACAAATGCTATAGTACTGCTTATCTTTCTCAGTTCTGTGTTCTTTCCATTACGTTGCTACTTTACATAGTTGTACTGGGGGTGAGAAGGGGTGTTCAATTAAATGAATAGGTTCCAGTACTTTGTGATTAATAGAAGATTTTATATTCTTAGATACACGCAATAATAAGTCAGAGTCAGAGCAGCATTTATAGGATGGGGAATAGAAGGAAAATTGTTTATCTAACAGATCATGGTCTTGAAAAGCTTTTATTGTCTTGGCAGGCTTGATTCCATCGCCTTCTCCTCCTGAGCCAGAGAAAGGAGCTGTCCAAACTGAAGATGTGAAGGCTAAAAAGTACTTACAACCTAGGTCCACTGTTTCTGCAGTGCTATTTGTGACAATCTGGCATTCTAGAAATGACTTTTCAACAATAAGAAAGATGTTATCCACAGATTCGAACCTTCTCTCAAAGCCAGCTTTGTTTCTCTTGTGTGCTGAGCAACGTTGGCCAAGCAAGTCTAGGCTCACCCACTGTTTGCTCCACCTCTAGCCCATCTCCATGCCTGATTGCCCCCAAAATAAATCCTTTTCCTCCAACATACAGCTCCAAAAAGACTGAAAGCCATTTTTTTTTTTTTTTTTTTACTACTCCTTAAGTGGTATTTATTTTTCTCTACTTGTCCAGTTGAATTGCTGTAATATGCCCCAGAGGGCACTGTTTCTGTCAAGCTCAGAGAAGCAGCACCAGGAGCACTGTGAGGTGCATCAGTTCTGATGCAGGCGGGTAAGTTCAGGAGCCTGGAGACTTCCAGAGACCTGCAATCCAAAGGAGAGAGCTGAGCACATGTGGAGGGCAATTCTGTTCAAAGGAGCTAAAAAGCTTGAATTAATGGTAGAGGAACCACAGGAGGTGATTGAAAGGCAAAGGTGGCTGTACCACAGAGGGGAAGATTCCTCAGCACCCAACACATTGCTCCTGCTTGGAAGTGAGGAATGTTGTGAGGACATTCCATGACTTACCCTTCCAATAACATGGATATAAACTAAACATTTTTTTCAATAACACTAGAGGAAACCTAAAGAGTAGACTTTTGTTCTGGCTCTTAAAGTACTTGTTCTCATTCTTTTCCAGGTAATCCAAATTATGTACTTATACACTATCAAATATCTGTGTGCTGTTTTCCTCTCCAGGCATGCCTTGTGATTGGGCTAATTATGAACATATACTGACATCCATTTAGAAGAAGTAAAATTACTTTCATCCCCAACACAGAAACATCTTTGCCGACAAGAAACCAAAATAATAACAATAATAATAATGGTAATAAGAAGAAGAAGAAGAAAAAGAAGAAGAAGAAGAAATAAAAAGCTTGAGTTCTCCCTGACTTGCAAGGACAAACAGTACAGAGTGAGGCTGAGCAACTCTGTGTAGAGAGAACCTCCTATAATCAGAGCCAGAAACTCTCCAATGGGAGAATTCAGCACTAGTTTAAAAAAAAAAAAAAAGTTAAAAAAGAGAAAAAAAGAAAAAGAAAAGGTGTAATTACAGGCAGGGGGAAATGTGGACTAAAATACTGCCAAGAGAAGCCTCAAGACTGGTATTCTTTAGGACCTTTCAAGTTGTTCCTTAGCTTTAAGCTGCATGGATCTGTCAAGAGTAGAATGGGGATTTGGCACTTTAGGTGAACAAAATGTCATATACTTTCACATCTGTGTCATTACATGAATAAACTCAGCAGATGGATCCAACTGTCTCTGCAGATACAGCATTTTATGCTTGTCCACACAGGTCTCACTAGCTCAACCCACACTCAGCAGGTTCAAATCTGTGGCATGATAATCAATGTCATGCCAAAATTGTGCTATAGAACTTGTGTTGTATTCTCTCCTTACATTTAATGCCTTCAGATCTCAGCACGTCTGTGAGAGTTTGCATGACTCATGTAAATGTTCTTTCTGATCCCTTAAAGCAAATAGAAGTTTTGAAGGGATGAAATTCTACTAATCTGTACTTCCTCTCTGTAAACTCACTGGCAGGCATTTCATCACTGTATGGATCCTTCCCCAAAAAGAAAGTATTTTCTAACCAAGCACAGCTCTTTAAATGACCATGAAGCAGTCTTTTATTCTGAAATGGAACCAAAATAAACACCTTACTTATTGTTTGCATATTAACATTTCAGACTATTGGTCTTAGCCATCTGCCATAATTGGATGCTAAGCTTTTTCCATTAAAATGTATCTCATCCTCAGATTTTGTTTTGCAAGATCCTGAACTGAGCCATGAAAAGCTTTCTAGGAACAACAATATTCTCTTCTTCCTGTGCAACTTCCACTGTCATGGATAACTAACTGTAAATAACATAAGAGGAAGCTTGCAGCTCATGCCTCCTTTTCTCTGGGACCTAAGATGCATATCTGAAAAAGAGATTAAGATGAGAAGAGGGTGTGAAGTCAAAAGGAAATGACAAAGAGTCTTTACAAACACTTTTTGATTAGAACAAAGTTTCATCTGATTAACCGGGCCCTGAGTCTTTGCTATACAATACAAGATTGCAAAAATGAACAAAACCCTTGTGGGAGCTCAAAAGGAATAAACTAAGCTAAATATATTGCATTTTTCTTTATTATATATATTTATATATTAGCAAGGACATCATAGACATTATTAAGTAGTCAAAGAACCAAGGAGAATAACTTGATACTCTGCTGCTCCCGCCCACAACAGATGAGACAAAAGATGTAGGGAGAGTGAGGAGGATGATTATGGTTTACTTAGAAAGATGTTTTCTGACAACCACAGCCAACTGTCCAACAGTGGAATCAGCACGTTAAATGCACTCGCCATTAGAAAGTTTGAAGATGAGGCAGATGTCCATCATTCAGGAATACCCTTTGAGTAATTGCTTCCATGGGTAAAGACTATTATGAATTCCATAATAATGCGTAGCAGCAGAAGCCTCCCTACATATTCCTTACACCTTAAAAATGACCTCCATTTCACCAATTTAGTACTCACTACCATGACTCAAGTAATAGCCACAAAATTATCTAAACTTATTTACTCAGAACACATATATTCATCAGGAATGTAACATCAGTGAAATTAATTCAATATAATGTCAATAGTTTCATTTATTTAATTGAGGAAAGAACAGCAGCTCATGATACAACCTTCGATGTGGTTCTCTCCATTAGAGAATATAAAAGTATTTTTTCAAAGAAAAACTAGAGAAAACACAGCAGCCTTCCAGTTTGAAAACCAGTGGTAAAGATGTAACACACTTGGAGCACCAGATGTCCCAGTGTGGTCTGGTTAATTGAAAGCCATGGTCCCTACATATACAATCAGCCTCACACATGGCCTGTTAATTCGATTGTCCTGTTGGTTTGCCCATTCATGTTCCTGGAGCGTTTTGTATTTCTTTTTTCTTTGCTCAAATTTGCCTCTCCCCTGGCAATTAAACCAGTTTTTTTTTTTTTTAATCTATCTCAAAGGGCATGCAAATCTGTAGGACCCACAGTAAGTTGGGTCTTCAAATAAAGAAAGAATGGCCTGAAAAAGTTTCAGAATAGTCCATGTGTATGTTTCTTTAATCTGTGAAAGATGGAGCAGACTTGATATATAACTGATAATATCATTGTGTTGAGAATAGAATCTTCCCAATTATAGAAGGTTACATTTCCAGCAACTTCAACACAATCATCTACTAAAAGGAATCTAAGAAGAAATTAAACATATCCAGGCAAACACATATACATGTGTGCATGCACATACACACACACACGCACACAGATCTCTGAGTACCTGAAGTTTTTGTCATGAAGACTCACCAAGAGACCATTCATATGATGTCATGGGTGAAGACTTAGTCTCCCATCTAAATTGTTGAAACTCTTAAATGCAGTCATACATTGCTTAATGATGGGAACACATTCTGATAAATGTGTCATTTGGTTAATTTCATCATTGTGTGAACATCGTAGTGTACTTACACAAATCTAGATGGCTTAGCCTACTACACACCTAGGCTACATGCTATAGCCTATTACTCCTAGACTATAAACCCACGTTTCATGTGACTATGCTGAATACTGCTAGTCAATTGTAACATAATGGTAAATATTCATGTATCTAAACATATCTAAACACAGAAAGGGTATACGACAGTAAAAGTAAAGTATTATAATCTTATGGAACCACTATCATATATATGGTCCATCACTGACCAAAATATTGTTACGTGAGTACATGATCTTAACATGCTGGTTTCCTAGCCCTGAGCAATTTAGAAGAAACAAGCTAGGTAGGGATGGGAGGACAAGAGAGAGATATCTGGAGGCAAGCAGAAAAAGGCCAGCGAGAAGACAACTAACTACTTGATTTAGCTGGAGAAATAAATTAAACAGCATGAGCAGATTATAAAAATACTATGCAGCTCAGAAAAATTGGGAATGTTCAATAATATTACAATAATTTGTTTGACAAAAATGACATTACTGAGCTAGCAAAACAACATTTTATTCTTTTCACTTGCCCCCTAGCAACACTACCTTTTGAAACAATGGCATCAGTTGTTTCAAGGGGCAGCAGTACTCAGCCAAGTTCAGAAGAGTCATTGCTTGGTTTGAAGCTCCAAAATGATTTTTTTTTAGCCCTATGTGAAGCATCAAGTTAAGTCAAGTATTTTTTTTATTTGCTGGAATTGGGCTTTTTTGAAAGAGAAAGTGATTTTCTTAAAAATACAAGGATAGATTTTTTTGAAAATATGGTGTCATGCCATGGGGGATGAAGATCACAGAATTTCTACTGTGAGTCATAGAATAAGGAAGAAGAAAGATGTGCTATGAGAATAGTTAAAAAAAAAAAAAAATGAAAAAGCCTTTCCGGTGCTGGCAGAAGCTGGACAAAGGTAAGAGAAGGGCAAAGTGTTTGATGTGCGTGATGTTGTCTGACTCTTGTCTTTCACCAAACTCAGGGCTAAGGGATTAAGGGATATCCTAAAAACACCCAGATTGGTTTGGGAAAATCTAAAAACATCGTGTGCTGGGACCTTGCTTCCCTGGGCTACTGCAAACCTCTAGGAGGATCTCCTGCAGTGGATGCTCTTGGTGCCCACTCAGACCTTCTCAGATCTCTTTTGCTACTGTTCCTATCCCCTTGGTTATGTGTGCTTTGTCACAGTCTGTGCCCGCATGCCCTTCAGGGTTTTGTTCCTATAATGAGCCAGAAGTGCACGGAAGTTTACAACGCCTTCAAGGTGGTGAGGATCTAGGACACCAGCCAAGAAAGAAGCACAAAATTCAGTTTTCTTGCCTCAAGATGAAACAAACTCCAAGATAAAATATATATGCCCATTGGGATCAGTCTGAGCCTGGAGCTTCCCCTGAAGCTGCACTCATAATCTCCTTTTTCTTCAATATTCTAATTATTCACTCTCTTTCCACTCTCTCCTGGAAGCATTGTTTAAATAACCCACTTGTAGTCCAGTCCTTAGTTCAAATCTGCTTCTGTGAAAACTAACTTAAAGCAATTGGTACATGAAGTGATCCTTCTTATAGACTGTCCAAATGGGATTCTAAGTTTTGGATAACATGTAGGACAGATATGAATGAGGATCATATCACAGAAGTGTGTGGAATGTCGATGAGCCCTGTTAGGCCACAGTAATGTTGCTATTATCTGAGAAGAGGTACAGGTAGAAGGGAATGCACTGGCTTTGGTAAATATCTTTGGCATTTGAGAGGTATAAAGAAAATAGTACTTATAAGGACTTTGAAATTAGTTGGTGGTTGCTAAGTGGCATTGATGCTTTGAAGGGAGAAAATAGGCTGAAGTTAGCCCAACTTACTACAAAATGTGAAAGACAGAGAGCCTAAGGCAACCTGTAAAAAAACCCTTACCATCTGTAGGCAGAGGAGAGCCCAAATTATGACCAGGCCCAGGACTTAATGATAAAGTATCATAACTTCAAGGCAGAATGAATTTGCTAGATGATTAAGTCTCTCACTCCAAAAGTAGCTACCTGGTAGTGAGATCCTGAGACTTGGAATAGAAATATGTGGTAGATGCACATGGCAACCTAGTACCCACAGATTCATCAAAACCTTCTGGGTAGACTAACCTTCCTTCCTCTTGTTTAAAGACTATGTAGATGTTTCAACCAAGACAGGGACTTTGTAAAAAAAAATGCTGTTCTCCTCAAGATCTGTTCCTATCTCCCATCCTGGACACCAAACCAAGAACTAAGAACCAAGAACTAAGATCACTGGGGAAGTGCTGCCCTGCTAAAGAAGGAAAGGTATTATAGATTGAATGGGCTTCAGGACCTAACTAATCTGTAGCAACATAAACTAGAAAAATGCCTTGGAGTATATTTTGAGGGTGTTAGATGGTTAAGGAGGAGAATTTAGAATATAAAGCTGGATAATAGAAAGTTTGTTTATTTGGGGACAAAATCATCTAACTCAGGATTTTTCACTTTTTAGAAAAACCCTCTGGAGCTGGATGTAATAAGTTGCTCCTTTAAGGACTTTTGTCATGCAAGCCTGTAAAAAACAATAACCCTCATGATGTGATGTGAAAATGGAAGAGTTGACCTGGTGCAGTATGGAGAAAGAGAGAAAAAGGCTCAGTGGGCATGCCTGTATGTAACTAATATGTAACCCACATCCCTCCAAAACACCAGTTGACTATGTTCAGGAAAGCCTAGGGGATACTCTGTTTACTATAGCGATATGAAATAATGAATTCCTTTAGTGACAGGGTCTCTAATATTGCCAAGAATCTTACAGCAGCTGTCTGCTGAAGCCTGGGACTGGTAATAGAAGATGCTTTTATGGAACTGGGCTTCTTATTAACAGTAAGTATGAAAGATTCGGGTGGCAGACTTTAACCATTAGAGGCAGAGTAGATGTAATTACCCTAACAGAAAATAAGGTCAAAATGGTAGCCAGGGATCATGGCTCTTGGGGGATTTACGTCAATGACTAAAAGATGATGGTGTGTCTAGGGCCAATTGAGATGAGTTGCTGAGAAGGTTTTTATATCTTCTTAAGAAGGGGAGATTAAAAATGTTAATATCAATCACTTCAGTTGAAAATTCCACACCTGGGCCAGTTTCCACATCTAGAATCCAAAGATTAAAAGATATTAAGCTCCCAAGGAAGGTAGATGCAATGTGACAACATGCTTTAACAGTAGTGATGCTCCTTGTCCTTTCCCAACCAGACCTGCAGCCATCTACCTAAGTAACTGTATATTCAAAAAAGAGAAATACACAGATTTTAGGGGTGGTTGGGCCTGAACTAATCCTGATATCAGGAATCCAAAGCATTATGCTGATTCCCCTATTAAAGTATAGGCATGTGGGTGTCAAATAATAAATAGATTTCTGGCTTAGGTTTTTTTGTTTGTTTGTTTTTGAGATGGAGTTTTTTTCTTGTCACCCAGGCTGGAGTGTAATGGCACAATCTTGGCTCATTGTAACCTTCACCTCCCAGATTCAAGGGATTCTCCTGCCTCAGCCTCCCAAGTAGCTGGGACTACAGGCATCCGCCACCAAGCCTGGCTATTTTTTTTTATCTTTTGGTAGAGACGGGGTTTCACCATGTTGGCCAGGCTGGTCTCAAACTCCTGACTTCAGGTGATCCACCTGCCTCACCCTCCCAAAGTGCTGAGATTACAGGCATGAGCCACCATGCCCAGCTTAGATTTCTGGCTCAGGTTTAACAAATAGAGAGTTTCATGGATACAGACTTATCCAATGATCATTCCTCTGACTCCTGGATGAATAAATGAAATGGAAATACTGAGGATCTGATAAAACCCTAACATTGATCTGTGACTTGTGGACAAGAACAATTACAGTAGGAAAAGATATTTTTATCACACTACAATACCCACTACAGAGCATCCATTGCAGAAGAGGGACTAAACAATTAGATGAACAGGATGATTCATCAAACAGATGTTAATTGGCATTTGTCCTTGATTACCCCAGCACTTGCACAATAGATTCATAAACAGATTATCCATGATGTCAAGGATGGAAGCTATCCATGACTTAGCTATTGACACTAAAAACATTCTCTTCAATATATCAGCAAAAGAGACCAATGCCGAGTCCCTGATATTATTATGATCACTCAAGGAGACAAAAACTCTAGTTTGTGGCAAGTTGATTACATGGGACCCCTTTCATCCTAAAAAGGAAAGCACTTTTTCAGGATTAAAAAAGAAAAGGGGGTTGTCTCTTCCAGCCAG
Source organism: Homo sapiens (assembly GCF_000001405.40). Taxonomy (NCBI): domain Eukaryota; kingdom Metazoa; phylum Chordata; class Mammalia; order Primates; family Hominidae; genus Homo; species Homo sapiens. The sequence goes on along the minus strand of NC_000005.10, from coordinate 117,182,037 downwards.
AGTGCCTTGGCATGCACTGTATCTGAAGGCTCACAGAATGTCTTATTTACAGGCACAGTATCCTGAATAATATCACGTTGGGCCACAGTACCTACCTAATAGCAAAAAATGTGCAGCAGTAGGCACATGACCAGATGATCCATTGGTCTCATCACATACCACACAATCCAGAAACTGCTAGCCTGACAGAGTGTTAAAATATAGTCTTAAAGGTACAGCTGAGGCATTATCTTAGATACGACCTCTTGTGAAGGTAGGGAATTGTCCTTCAGAATATGATATAAACCTTAAGGTAACAATCTTTGTATGGACCTGGGTCCCCAAACAGTAAACTACGTGAGTCCCAGAACCAATGGATGGAAGTAGAATTTCCCTGCTCACTATTATTCCCACTGACATATTTGAGAATGTGTGCTTCCCTTCTCTGCATCTTTAAGCTTTGAAAGTTTAAAGGCCCTAGTCTTCATGGAGGAGTGGCACTATCAAGTCACAAGAGCCCATTGAGTGTAAAACGTTGGTTGCCATTGAGTCTCTTTGACTCCTCACACTAGTAAACCAGTAGGAAAAAAAAATTACCATTTTTGACAGGAATAATTGACCTTAATCATTATGAAGACTTAGCGTTGCTATTATGTAATAGAGCTAGAGTTTCGTTCTCAGCCTCAGTTTTTATTTCAGGTATTATATTTATTTCATCTAATATTTCCATTTGATTCTTTTTTATAGTTTCTATTTCTCTGCTGATATTTTCTGCTTTTTAATCTATTATAAGCATATTTTCCTGATAGCATTATTATAATAGCTACTGTAAAACCTTTGCCTGCTAATTTTAAAATCTGTTTTATCTCAGGGTCAGTCCCTATTAATTTTATTTTCTCTTGAGAATGGGTCCTATTTTTCCATGTTTTTCTATTTCTTCATATACAGAATTACTTTGGGTTGTTATCATGGAAATTGTGAATATATATTTTGGAGACTGGATTTTGTTATCTGCTCCAGAAAGTGTTGATATTTGGTCTTTGTTTGTTTTGTTTTATCAGGTAGTTTATTGATTGGACAGAAACAAGAAACTCTGTCTCCCAAGCAGCAGCCCAAATATTAGATCTGCTTTTTGTTCTTGATGTTTTATTTTGTTTTGTTTTGTTCTTAACTGGGTAGTTTGGAGTCTTTCTCATATATGAGTGGTTCAGGGGCTATCCAGAGACTTTTAGAGTTTATATACAAATGTGCATGGAATTTGTGCATAGAATCTAGAACTCTCCCTCTCTGAACCCCTCCTTTCTGAGACTCCTCCTGTATTTCCAGCTATTGTGGTTGCCTCAAACTTGGTCCTTCTATTCTTTAGTCCAGAGATACTGCAGGTTTGTAAATGACAATTCTACATGCTCCGAATAGAATGGAAAGAGAACTATCTCCAATCGAGAAGCCATGAAAATGAAAAATACCTTTTATCCACACATTTTCTTTATCCAACTACTGACTGTCTCCAAAATCTTCTTTCACTTTGCCTCCAACGCCTTCGGGTAGTTTTGTTGTTGTTGTTGTTGTTGTTGTTGTTGTTATTTTGTCTAGGGTACGCATCTGTTATCTATGCAAGTGTTACTGAATAGAAACTTACTTGGTCATACAGGAAGTGTATCACGCTGACTCCCAGAAGAAGTTTTAACTGTGAATAAACAATCGCAGCAACCATAACTGCATGGTAACCAGAGTAAATCACTCAAATGATTCTTGGGTTCACTCCACACAGCTATCAATTATATTGTCTCTTCTGAGTGCCTTGGCATGTACCATATCTGAGGGCTTACAGAATATCTTATTTACCAGCACAGAATGCTGAATAATATCAGGATACTAGAGCGAGTTTAAAATGGGTGTTAGAGGAGGGCAATTATGAGAATCTGTTTTGGTCTTGAGACCAACTATGGCAGTGGTGATTAAAGCTTGTCACATCAAGATGTCTCATCAGTTTTTCTGCAGAAATTGTGACCAGTCGGGTTTTTGAAAAATCTGTGAACTTAATGGAAAAGCAGTGCAAGGTAGACTGAAGCAGATGTTTCTGGGCTCCTGCCCAAATACCCTGAGATCCTAGCATCTCTGTGTATCTGTCCCTCAGCTTCTGCTATTCTGCTAAAGACTTGCATCTTTGACATTTTACAGAAGATTGGCTTTGAGTTACAGGAGCAACCTTGTTAGAAATGCCAAGTAATTTATGACCACCACCCACTTCCCACCCCTGCCTCTTAACCAATGAGTAACTGATGTGGGAGTAAAAAGGCCCACCTTCCTTAGTTCGAAATGCAAACTCTAAAGTATAATTTACATTCCAGAACTCCTGCAGAATCTAGCTGAGACTAGAACTTTACCTGACCCTGGGCACTTGGTGGGTTTTCCTGATCCATACCCTGCTTCCCCTGCTTCTTCATCATTTTCTTTTGGGAGTACTTACTTACAATTTACATACATTCAAATCCCTGCATCAAGGTCTGTTTCTGGGAGACCTTGACCTAAAGCACTTCATACTTAGTGTATAACTCCTCTAACAAGGAATGAGCACAGTCAAGTATTGAAGACTGAGAGAGGGCCTGAAACCTCATAGAATTTGCCCCTGCATCATGACGGTGCCACATGCCAGCATAATACCCCAAATGACAGGTAAGACTAGCCACATACCAACAGATACAGCAACCTGTCCACACCAGCAGATACAGAAATCTACCAACTGTGGCAGATTTTAGCAGTGGTCTGAAGTATAACTCAAAGGGGAAAAGCCCCTAACCAATGGCCTGCATTACTCCAGAAGCATCTCTTGTTCAAGACTTTTCCCCCATTCCCTGCAAAAAAGCTGCAGAAAAGAGATGGAGAAGAAACTCCAACAGTTGAGAATTTGCCGAAAAGTGACTACATTTTAATCTACACAGTGCCTGAAATTTAAAAAAACAAACTTATATATAAATCTGAGTAGAAAAGACTTAGATCAGACTGAATATTCTGGAATACAAGAAAGAAGTTATTTATTCCATGAAGACTTAAGTCATCAAAGCCATGTTCAGTTATATAAAATGTATTTATATTTTTACTTTTTCACATCTATACTTAGTGTTTACGTTTTTAATCCATGTAAATTTCCATTCATGTAAAGTTTAAAATTTTTAAAGTAATTTCTACCACCTAATAGGAAGGCAAAAAATTTTACCCCATTAACAAAAAAAGAAAATAATGCTCAAGTGGTTAAGTAACTTGCGTGAGGTCACAAACAAACCAGTTAATGCAAAAGAAATACTCAAAACAAATTTTCTGACCCAATGAAGTCCAATTCAGCTTATCCTTGAAACTTGGAAGTGGTGTGAGACAATAATTGAAGGCTAGGGATGACAGTTAATTGATTCCTACACTTCCCTTATTTGTAGCCTGGTGCCCACAATGTATTAATTCACACTGCTTCCAGCAACCCTTGGGACCAAATATTATAATATTATCCGGATGGTTGTGGACATGTTCATGAAATGCGCTGCTTACTTCTTCAGAGGAATACTTTTCTCATCTAAAATACCAGAGAACTCCAATCCTTCTGGATGTTCCAATCCAGTTTTTAACAAACTTTTCTGTGCATGAGAATTACCTCCAGAGGTTTTAAAAGACACGTGTATCTAGAACACATCCCATTCCAGAGGTTCAGAATTAGTGGATCAGAACGAGTCTTGGCATCTATATGTTTAACTTTCTCTTTGGATGACTCTCATGCACAACAATGTTTGAAAACTGCCGCTTCTACTTGACTTGTCTAGTCCTGAACTCTGGTGTCAAATTTTGCCTCTCTCTTCCTTGCCCTTGGCTTCTCCTACTTTGACTCCCATGATCCCACCTCAGTTCATTACTGGATTTAATTCATTAACTCCCCAGTGAATCTTCCTTTTCAGCCTGAAGCTATATGTGAGTATGCTAAGCTCGTATAACTTCTCAGATGACTTAGATTAACAAATCAGACACTTGAATCTCTGTAGCATCCCAACCTGAAGGTATCTTGCTTTCTTATTCACTCTTAGGAGCAAAAATCGCTTGCTCCAAACTGAAATTGGGTAGGCTAAGACATGGAACCTTTAGTTCCTCTCAGCACAGAATGATTCTGCCAGACCACCATTTTCAAATGAAATGGGTTATGCTACAAAGGTAGCCTTATGACCTAAAGCCTTGTGCGAATGATTTTTGATCATATCATTTACTGGCCAGCTCTTCACTAGAGATGGAAAAATCTTATATCTCAAATAATATTAAAAGTCCAATGTTATGTGAAATCTAAAATTGCCCCATATACAGTTCAGTAATGTTCTCATGTAATTGTACGACTTCAAAGATAACTTAGGGTCACCTCAGATTCTTTAGAATTTTATACAAGAAAGTCCAGTCTTCACCTTGTACTTTGTGTTACAAATGAGAATGAGTCACAGAAACACATCTGTAGCTCTTTAGCTATAAATAGAGTTCAAAGGATTCTAAAAAAATGGTTGTCAATAACTAGGCCACTTGATTGACAGGCATTTATGACTTCCTGTTTTGCACTTAACATTTTGAACTTGTAATGACTCAAAAGATAAAGTATACACTTCTGGTCTAATTTATTTATTCACATTGCCTTGTATCAACATGCTTGGTAGTGTCTTTTAAAAGAGGTAAATTTTATTCAGTGAAGTAATCTTTGTGACATATTAGACAGAAATGGTAAAGGAATGGCCTCTCATTCTGTTATCAAGATCTGCCTTTTGTTCTACATTTTCAGCGTTCTGCTTCTTGTCTGAATCACTTGATAATATTAGCATCTAGGAGTTTTGAGACAGTATAACGTGAAACCATGCTCATCTTGGAAAATAAAGTAGACAGTTTACTCACTTTAATAGTTCATATCTGTTATGGCATAGCTTAGTGCCTGGATGTACTGCTAGGAGGCAGAGCTGAGAAGAAACAGGATGCTATGAACAGGAAGATCCCTATGTTTGAGTATTTATTTGTTTATTTACTGAGACCAAGTCTCGCTCTGTCACCCAGGCTGGGGTGCAGTGGCATGATCCCCGCTCACTGCAGCCTCTTCCCCTCAGGTTGAAGTGATTCTCCTGCCTCAGCCTACCGAGTGGCTGGGACTACAAGTGTGTACACCCACGCCCAGCTAATTTTTGTATTTTTTAGTACAGAAGGGGTTTCACCATATTGCCCAGGCTGGTCTTAAACTCCTGACTTTAAGTGATCCACCCATCTCAACCTCCCAAAGTGCTGGGATTACAGGCATGAGCCACTGCGCGTGGCCTATATTTGAATATTTAAAGTCTGCTTCTGGCCAGGCGCAGTGGCTCACGCCTGTAATCCCAGCACTTTGGGAGGCCGAGGTGGGTGGATCACCTGGGGTTGGGAGTTTGAGACCAGCTTGACCAACATGGTGGAACCCCATTTCTACTAAAAATACAAAAATTAGCTGGGTATGGTGGTGAGCGCCTGTAATCCCAGCTACTCAGGAGGCTGAGGCAGAAGAATCACTTGAACCTAGGAAGCGGAGGTTGCAGTGACCCGAGATCATGCCACTGCACTCCAGCCTGGGTGACAAGAGCAAAAATACATCTCAAAAAAAAAAAAAAAAAAAAAAAAAGAAGGAGAAGGAGAAGGAGAAAGAGAAGGAGAGGGAGAAGGAGAAAGCATGGCAAATTCAGAGGAATTGATTCTACTGCCTCCTATCCCTGCCTCAACACCAGCTGTGGCTGTTACCCAGAGTATTATCTATGCAGCTAAAACCTCTGGATTGCCAGCTTTGCCCAGGAGGACAGGCAAGAAAGATTTTCATAAAGTTTCTTCTTCCTTCTGCAGGGAAAATAATCATATTCACCATTAACTTTTACAGTTGTCTTGCAACTATGTGTTATGGCACCCTGGTCTACGATAGTCTCAGTTGTTTCCAAAGAGATTCCATTTGACATTTTTTTTTAATCTAAAAAAGTCAGTGTGAATAAATGAGTATACAAATATATATGCTTTAACTTTGAGTAAAATGTTCCATTTATAATGCCATTTTAGTACATAATGAAATGAGAAAAAAAGTAGAATTTATAACTATAAAAACTAAGTGATAGGCCAGGCATAGTAGCTCACACATGCAATCTGCACTTTAAGGGGCCAACGTGCGCAGATTACTTGAGCTCAGGAGTTCAAGACCAGCCTGGGCAACATCATGAAACTCCGTCTCTACAAAACACATGAAAAAATTTAGCTGGGCATGGTGGCACACACCTGTAGTCCCAGCAACTTCAGGGGCTAAGGTGGGAAGACTGCCTGAGCCCAGGAGTTCAAGGCTGCAGTGAGCTGTATCCAAGCCACTGTACTCCCTCCAGCCTGGGTGACAAAGTAAGATCCTATCTAAAAAAAAAAAAAAAAAAAAAAAAAAAGAAAAAAAAAAGAAAGAAAAAGAAAGAGAGAGAGAGAGAAAAAGAAAGAAAGAAAGAGAGAGAGAGAAAGGAAAGAAAGAAAAATACGTAAGTGATAAATACCACAAAAACCTGCGTGATATGAAAAAATGCAATTATCAAGGAAAATTATAAGATTGTGGCTATTTTTGTTACAAAATATTTCAAATGTACAGATAATAGAACACTAATTTACTCACCATACAGATTTCACAGATGTTAATATTTTATCACATGATATTTTAATCTCTAGGTTTTTGATAAACCAAAATGCTTCAGATAAACTTAAATCCTCTTTTATCATTTCCTACACTCCTTGAAGTAACTACTTTCTCAAGTTGAATATATATTCTAGTGCATATTTTTACTACAAATGTGTTTATCTAATAACCATATATAAACTGTCCTTTTATTCACACAGAAGGTATCATATTGTAGTTAACTTTTTTCCTAAAACTGTTTTGTTTTTTTGTTTTGTTTTATTCGAGACGGAGTCTCGCTCTGTTGCCCAGGCTGGAGTGCCATGGCACGATCTCGGCTCACTGCAACCTCTGTCTCCCGGGATCCAGCGATTCTCCTGCCTCATCCTCCCAAGTAGGTGGGACTACAGGCGCGTGCCACCAAGCCCTGATCATTTTTTATATTTTTAGAGAGATGGGATTTCACTGTGTTAGCCAAGATGGTCTCGATCTCCTGACCTCGTGATCTGCCTGCCTTGGCCTCCCAAAGTGCTGGGATTACAGGCATGAGCCACTGTGCCTGGCCTCTAAAACTGTTTTGAAATTAATTCATGTTGATAAAACTCACAATGTATTCTTCCATTTTTACATTCATGGACTTTGATCATTTCTAATTTTTCACCATTACATTCAATGTGGTTAAAAAAAATCCATATATATTTTGTTTGGTTGGTTGGCTTTTGGGTTCATACAAAGGTCTTAAAAGTGGAATTGCTAACTCATTGCTGATACTCGGTCAGCCTTAAAAGATACTACCAAATAGCTCTCTAAATTGTTACCGAATTTAATCTCATGGATAGAATACATGAGATTTTCTGTTCCTCTATATTCTTTCCAATCTTGTTAGTCAGTTTTTGACAATCTGATGGGTTAGATATATCTCACTGTAGTTTTAATTTTTATTTCTCTGACTGCTCACAAAGTTGAGCATGTTTACAAATGTTATTTCTTCTGTGAGCTGCCTGTTCATACTCTTTGCCCTTATTTCAATGGGTTGCTTCTACTTTGTGTAAATTATTTATCAATTTCAGGATCTATCTCTTTGCTCAGTTGTATGTTTTACAACTATTTTCTCCCAGTCTGAAGCTTGATTTAAAAAAAATTAGATGTGATCACATTATCAATGTTTTCCTGTATTATTTGCAAATTTTGTGACTTAAGAATCCCCTACTACCTCAATATCATAAAGAAGGTCTTCTATATTTTTTTCTAAGAAACTTATAGTCACATTTACATGTATATCTTTATTCCTTTTAGAATTTATTTTTGTGTATAGTACCAAGTAGGGGTCAAAATTCGTTTTATTTTTTTGTGTATAGATAACTAATTATCCCAGCACCATTTACTGAATACTCACTTCTTTTACCAATGCTTTCTGAAAGCGTCTCATGTATATAACATGCTTTTGTTATATGCTTATTTCTGGGCTCTGCCTTCTGTTTTCTTGATATGCCATTCTCTCCAAGACAACACAGATGATGACTTTTCTAAATAATAACTTAAAGGTTTTATAAGATGTTTTAGCCAAATTCCCCAGATAAAAATTTGGATCCCATCAGAATAACTTTTCATGGAATTTTCTTTATTGGCAGCATGTAGCAGAGGGACATATAGGGCTATCGACTCCAACAGTCCTGGGCTAGCTACAGCTGGCCAGAGGCTGTCAACAAGTGGTTAACTCACTGTACTTATCTGTAAAACTGAGAGAAAGAAAAATAGTCCCCTGTCTGCCTATAGTCTATTACTTTGCCTATTTCCTTCCCTTCACAGCCTTGTCATAATAAGCTATAATTATTTAGCTCATTTGTTTGTTTACCTATTTGTCTCTATACATACACAAGAATATACAAGTCTATTTACTATTATATTTCCAGCACTACTATAGTGCCTGATATATAAGATATATAACTCGTAAATATATGTTAAATGACAAACATGAAGTAACAAATTACTATATTTAAAGGAATATGTTATAATGAAAAAAGCAAAACAACTTAAAAAATTTGCTACGAATGTACATGTTGCAATTCTGGAATTTGTTTCAAATATATTTGGAACCCTGTATTTTAAAGACACAGGAGTTATAAACTTTAAAACATTTTAAGAATACTGTAAACCTCATGATTTTTTCTTACTAAGATGACTGATATAGACTCCACCTCCTAAAAATATTGAGAGGTGGGAAACTGCAACATGGGTTGCAATGGCCATGAAAAGTCACTGAGCAAACCCCTGAAAAATGGATAGGACACAGAGAAGCAGAAAGAAGTTGTCAAGATGCTGTCAATAAATTATAGCAGCAGAAGAAAGGCTCTTATCTGGTAATGAATACAGAGTGGGTGAGATAAGACTTTAACCAATGGATCAGTAGATATGGAAAATATGTGAAGTAAAGTTATAGCATTTTACCCATTAAAACAATTCCCTTTTTGGCAACTTATTTAACAAAAAAGAGAAAGGCATTAATATTGTGCTTAAATTGTGTCTTTTTGATAAGCAAATTAGATGATAGGTTAAAATTCTATATTTATATCAAAATAAAAACAACAACATTAAAACTTCCTTGACCTGCAGTCTAAAAGAAACCAGCTCTTCTGTTGGATTTCCACTACTTCCTGCTTCCTGGTAGGATGTGCTCTGAGTATTCTAACGGTGCTACTGAAGTAAAGGGATAATTGGATTTTTCATATTATTTTAACATTGACTCTAAGTATCAAATTAAAATTCAATACTGACTTTCGGTGTCAAATTAAATTAGCTTAAATGGGCTGAATTTTATGAAACCAAAGATTTATTTCTAAGCATATGACCTAAACTGAGTTTGATTTTTACAAAGTCCATATTTTAATTCAAAACCTGGCTCTTTATCCATTGCCCAGATCAAAGTAAATTTTACTTTTGTTTAATATTAAGAATATTGCGGTATTTCATTAAAGTAAGTGGATGAAGATTATATAGTGAACTCTGTCACCTGTTAATTAGAGATTTGTCAATATCATTAGCATTTGCATTTTTGCTGAGTATAGAAATCTATCCACTTTTCAATTGGCCTTTCTTGGTTCTCTTTCTCTTTCATTAGTCTAGTGGTCCCTTGACTAATGTCTTCTGTTTGTACCAAAACATTCATCTGGCTAAAGTTCAAGTTCTAAAAAAAAAACAATTATCGACAAAAACTTAATCTAAAGAAGACAAAGAAGCCTGACTTTTATTAAGTATGGTTAAGGATTTTTACTCTAGTAGGAAAAGTTAGCAGTCTCATGATGTTAGAAAAAGGTAAAACTTTGAAAAAGCTTTTTAATTTAACTCATCAAATGCTGCTAGAAAGCAATGAAAGGGACTTTTCTTAAGCAGGTAACCTAATCAGGCTAAAGTTCTCATCTCTACACATTGAAAATATTTTTATATCAAGCATATTTAAATAGAATTGTCATGCAATCGATGTCAACTTCCCCATTATAGGAAATGAGATTGAACAAAATTAAAAGTAATTTTAGGTACTATATAAGTAAAGTTAGAGCAAACCTCAAACCAACATCTCAAGAAAGAACTTTCTGGAAGCAATTTTATTATCCTCAAATTGATAATACAATCAGTATGGTGACCCGACTGTAGAACTAAATGATTCTTAGTGACCTCCAGATTTTTACTGTAAGGATCTCTTGCCAAATATTTTTTTCTGATTTTCTTTTGTGTTCGTCAAATATATTACTAATTCTTTCTAAATAAGCAGAGCCCTTCTAACACTCATTCCATGTAAGGTGTAGTGCTAGAATTGTGAGAAGTGACATACCAATGGTTTGAAGGGGAAATGAGAAGAAAAGGAAAGGAAAATAATATTGCTAGAGACAATACCCTATTTGAAATGGAGATAAAATTTCCCTCATTGTTTCTTTTCATTGTTACCCTCTTATGAAAGCCATAGTAAGAACTAGAATTCATCTTTTGTGACTCTGAATTCAGTGTTCCCTTCCACTATACCAGAAAGCATTTGTAAGTCTGACCAGAGCTGTCCCTTGATTTTCTGTTAATGTATGTAGAGTAGTCAGAGTCAGAAAGTAGCTGAGAATATAACTCAAAGATTTTTGGGTGAAAAAAGCTTGACATTATGTAATCTATAGTTACCTAGAGTGAAAATTTAAGCTACATTGGCTTAAATTATGGTGTGGGAGGAACTGTGCGATCTTTCTAAGCTTCAGATTTACTATCCTAATTAGTTTTCAATGCCTAAATCACAACAATTAAGGAAAATTTCAGGAAGTATACTGTATAAAATACCCATTTTAATTTGAATATCAAAACAAATGTATATAAAATACCTGTTCTATGAAAATACTTAAAATATTTCCAAAATTAGCTGAAGATGAACAGTTGACAGTTGTGTACTCTAAAACTTGCTCCTTTTAGAAATCTATAGTTTTTAGTCTCAAACTTTAAAGGAATATTCGGGGATAATCATCAAGTTAAATGTAATGCCTTCAGTTGGGTAAGGTTATTAATTAACACCGTGATTTCACATTTACTAAAATCATGTCATTTTTCCAACTTTTTTTGAAATTGGTATGGAATAAAGATATGGCATGCTGATATAGACTCTCTGAAAACAACAGTAGCAACAGAAGTGTCCTGACTTGCAGCATTTGTCAATTTCCACAGTGTACAAATTCCCACCATGGATGAATTCAAGGTACCACCACAACATTACTAAAATTTTCGTGGCATGTTTTTCCTATTTTGTAAGAGATGTGAGAACTATTATTTAAGAAATCTCTCCTAATCTGAGAAAAAGACACTAATAAGAGAGAACATCCCTCATCAAATGATAAAATGTGTTAAATGTATTATAAAGATACATGAATTAAAAGATTGTGGCACTGGCCTAAACATAGACAGATGAATTAAAGAGACTAGATCAGGTTTCCCACATTATGTGCAATTGAAATGCCTTCCCTCCCCCACCCCAGGAAAAACACATGGGCAAATACTCATCAAAAATATGACTTTCTAATCCATCTCCTGGAGATTTACAACCCATTTTAGTATATTAAAGAGTCTGAAAAGTATTACTCTAGAAATCCATTTATGGAGTCCCAAATTTTCCATACTTACATAATCATTCATTTTTTTCTGAAGATAATTTCTAAAATTATCTTCCCAAGAACACTACTTGGAACATGCTGGAATAGAGAATCTACTAATCCACCCAAGTGTGTATGGGAATACAGAATGTGAAAACCATTGAGAGAAAACTTAATTAGCCAATAAGGCATAGTAGGAAGAATAGTGATACCAGGAAAACTGACTAACTGTATTTTAAAAAAATGTAAGAAAGCAACAGCAGCCAGTTTTCTAACATTTCTTATACCGAAATAAATTTCAGGCAAATCAAAATTTAAAACATAAAAACTAAAACTATGAAAGAAAAAAATTCAAAATACTGGCTAATATGACTGGGCACAGTGGCTCCCAACTGCAACCCCAGCACTTTGGGAGGCAGGTGGATCACCTGAGGTCAGGAGTTCAAGACCAGCCTGGCCAATATGATGAAACCCCATCTCTACTAAAATTTACAAAAATTAACTGGGAGTGACAACAGGTGCCTGTAATCCCAGCTACTTGGGAGACTGAGGCAGGAGAATCGCTTGGGTCTGGGAGGCGGAGGCTGCAGTTAACCAAGATCAAGTCACTGCACTCCAGCCTGGGTGTCAGAGCGAGACCCTGTCTCAAACAAACACACAAAACTGATTGATATGTTTAAAATCTCGGGAAAAGAAAATCTTTCTTGGCCTAACACTAAAGAAATAAACTAAAGAAAGCTATAAATGTCACCAGATAAAAATTAAAACTTCTCTACACCATAAATAAAGATAAAATATAAATTTTAAATGGCTAAAACTATTTGAAATACAAATGACATAGCAAGGGCTCTCACATATTAATAGTGAGGCCCTTCCAATGTTCTTCAGTTCAAGTTACTCAGCATGCTAATGAACCATTGTATTAGTTTGCTTTCACACTGCTTATAAGACAGATCTGAGACTAGGTAATTTATGAGGAAAAAGAGGTTTAATGGACTCACAGTTCTATGTGTCTGGGAAGGCCTCATAATCATGGCGGAAGGCGAAAGGCACGTTTCACATGGCAGCAGGCAAGAGAGAGAATGAGAATCAAGTGAAAAGGGTTTCCTTTTATAAAACTATCAGATATTATGAGACTTATTCACTACCATGAGAATAGTATGGGGGAAACCACCCCCATGATTCAGTTATTTCCTACTGGGTCCTTCCCATAATAATGAGAATTATGGGAGCTACAATTCAAGATGAGATTTGGGTGGGGACATAGCAAAACCATATCAGCCATATTCTGCTTATCATGTTCTGAGCCCTGACACCATCTTGGTTGTACCTGTACTCATTTCAGAATTTAATTAACATTAACATTTCTTCTTTTATGAATTACATGGTATAGTCCAATGCCTGTTTTTCTATTTGTTTCCTTTTACTATTGATACATGAGAGCCCTTTCTTTGTCATTTGTATTTCAGATAGTTTTAGCCATTTAAAATTTATATTTTACCTATATTTATGATGTAGAGAGTTTTAATTTTTATCTGGTGATATTTATAGATTTCTTAGTTTACTTCTTTAGTGTTAGGCCAAGAAAGATTTTTTTTCCCAGGATTTTAAACATATCAGTCAGTTTTGTTTTGTTTTGTTTTGTTTTGTTTTTGAGACAGGGTCTCACTCTGTTGCCCAGGCTGGAGTGCATTGACTTGATCTTGGCTCACTGCAGCCTCCTCCTCCCAGGTTCAAGTGATTCTCCTGCCTCAGTCTCCCAAGTAGCTGGAATTACAAGCACATGCCACCTCTTCTGGGGTCAGAAGTTTCTCTGACCTCTGCCTGCCTTACTGCCCCACTTTCTCTCCTGAAGCAAATCATAAGAACCAGAATTCCCTTCCTAAGGTGTGAAATAGAAAGTAGAACCTCTCTTATCCAAAGCAAGGCATAAAACCTAGTCCTACTTTCTCCTTTGTCCCTTGAAGACTCTCATTCCAGAGGGGTGCTGTCCTATAACCAGGAGGAAAAGATGCTACATAGAGAGACAAAAAAGAATCTGACCAGACAGGCATTGCTGGGTTTCCCCACTCAATCTATATATTAGGCAACTCTTGCATTGCTGTAAATAAATACCTGAGACTGGGTAATTTACAAAGCAAAAGTTTTAATTAGCTGATGGTTCTGCCAGCTGTACAAGAAACATAGTTCCAGCATCTGCTTCTGGGGAGGCCTCAGAAGGCTTTTACTCATGGCAGGAGGCAAAGTGGGAGGAGGCACATCACATGGCCAGAGCAGAAGCAAGAGAGAGAGAGACCAGATCTTGTGCAAACTCAGGCCAAGAGTTCACTATCCCCAAGGGGATGGCCCAAGCCATTCATGATGGATCCGCCCCTATGATCCAAGTATGTCCCACCAGGCCCCACCTCCAATATTGAGGATTACATTTCAGCACGAGATTTGGGTGGGGACAAATATCCAAACTATATCAGTTTATTACTATTAGATCATACCCTGTTGTTCAATCACATGTATGAATAGCTATTTATTCTTCATCAAACCTATGCATAGAAATAAACAATTTTCCCTGGGTCTTAAGTCTTCATTTCTGAAGTTTCCTGTGTCACATAACACTTTGATTAAATCAGTTTGTTTCATCATTGTACCTTTCGCCTGTTAACGTGTCTTTTGTAATAGGAGTGTTGGCCTTAATGCTTATGATGGGCAAGGTGCTTGACTCATGGAACCTCTTTGTAGTGAAAAGAGAAAAAAATAAGCAAATGTATTTACAAAAGCCATCAGGGCATATAATGATCTGCAAGTAACAGGGTGACTGCTTTTACACTGGATGATCAAGGAGAGTGACCCTGAAGAACTGTCATTTAAGCTAAGATCTGAATGATAAAAAGGAATTCAGACAAGAAGTTAACAAATAAAAAACTCTGATTTTATCCTAGATGTAATGGGATTCCACTGTAGAGATTTTTAAAATAATATAATTTCCATTTTAGAACCATCATTGCAGCTATTGCATTGAGACTATGTTACATGGGGGCAGGAGTAGGATAAGAGAAACCTTTCTGAAGGCTCTTGCTCTAGACTGTGTGAAATCTTGGACTAGGGTAGTAACACAAGGTATGGAGAAAAGTGAGGGGCATTTACATATAATATATGAGTAAAATTTATAGTGCTTGCTAATTAATTAGATATGGGGATGAGACTAAAAAATGATTTTTTTAAAAGCTCAATAATTTTTATTTGAGCAAGTGGGAGGAAGAGTGTGATATTGACTACACAGGAAAGACCCAGAGCTCATTGTGCGGTATGAGGTATTTATTAGTAAACAGTACTTCTGTTTTGACCTGTTATGTTTGACATGTCTATTTCATATCCAAGTAGGGATACTAACCAGGCAAATGCATATATTATGTTAGAGTTTCAGGAGAGGTCAGGTCTAGAGAAATGAATTTTAGAATCGCATAATTATTTAGAGCAAGAAACAAGAGCATGATTACCAACAAAGCAGGGCAAGTTGAACAGAGCTTATTCATAGGGCACACCAACATCAGAGATTGACCAAGGGAAGGGAAGACAAGAATCTGAGTCCTACCTGTGCAATCTTCCAACTCTATGACTTATTCAAATTAGCATCACCACTCCTCAATCTTCTCATTTTAAAATGGGGATAAATCATAATAAAAACTACCAAGGCTGGTTGGAGAATTAATGGGGATAATTCCAACTAAAACACATAACAACATCCCCAACACACAGTAGGGTTCAACAGTTATCTGCCATTAGTTTATTTGCCAAAATATTCATAGTTTTAATAGAAAAAAAAGTGGAAGCAGCCAAAATTATTTTTTAAGTAATAAAATAACTTTCAACAATCAGTGAAAACAAAGCTATATGCAAGTTGAGGAAAAGAAAAGAACAGACAGAAATAATTCTAAGTTGGTATAAAATTAGTAGTTACATATAGAAAGCTATTCAAAGAAAGAAAATTAGATTGCAGGTTCTAACCAAAGATTTTTTTTTTTTTTAATTGTAAGGGAGTAAATCCAGAAACTTTCAAGTGAGAAAGAACATCAGAATGTAACTGGATGGTAACATAAAGGCTTCTAATCTTCAGGCAATTGAAATGTTAAAATCTGCCACAGAGCAGGCCTCTACATTAATTACTATACTTTCATGTAACATTTAGCCAATAGTAAGTGTTTGCCATGGAGTTCCAAAATTCAGAGAAGAGGGTTATTTTGCGATTTCTATTGAATTCTCCTTTTTAATTAAAGCAACTCCCCATTCATAACTTAATTTTTAATACTTTGTGGGTTATAGGAAATAAAGCACTGATTGCCTTAAATAAAGAAACAGATCTGACTACATTTTTATTATTTCATTATTTCACTGCAGGAAGAAAAAGTACTCATAAATAAATACATTTTTTTCCAAATCTACATGTCTCAAGGCAACTAAAAACATCATATTCTGGGATATTCTAAATGTTCTTAATGAAGCAAGTATAATCAATTGCTTTTTGAATCAATATTTCAACAAAATGATGATAAGATGGAGTTGAATTCTCTTGCTTCTTTGCTTTGTCTAAATCTCTGAGAAAAACATTGTTTTTTCTCCCTTCATTCACGAATAAAATAATATCCCCCAGGGCAGGCACGGTGGCTCACGCCTGTAATCCCAGCACTTTGGGAGGCCAAGTCAAGAGACTGAGACCATCCTGGCCAACCTGGTGAAACCCTATCTCTCCTAAAAATACAAACATTAGCTGGGCATGGTGGCACTCTTCTGTGATCTCAGCTACACAGGAGGCTGGGGCAGGAGAATCACTTGAACCCGAGAGGCGGAGGTTGCGGTGAGCTGAGATCGCAGCACTGCACTACATCCTCACAACAGAGTGAGACTCCATCTCAAAAAAAGAAACAAACAAAAATCTCCCACCACCAAGAGTGACACAGAATTGAAAAAAAGACAAAAAACCCTGTATCTATGTAGTCACTTATGTGCAGCTGCTGAACTCTCCAAACAAACAGCTGGGCAATTATGACTATCACCCTTGTATTCTAGAACACAGTCTGAAAATCATTTGTATTTAAGTTAAAGCTTCAGTGCTTCTGCTGTGTGTTAATTCTCTCTTCCCTTCAGCATCCCTTTCCCCTTTTTCTCCCCACCTGACCCACTGCTTCCCTATTTCTCAATACAAAATTTTATCAAACCTGTTCAGCATATTTTTCCTGTAGGGGAAACAATGCTAAAGTTTATTGCCTGTACAGTTATTTTAGCAACTTAGAAATACCTATCAGCTCAGAATTTTCTATCACAAGTAAATTTGGAAGGCAGTTAATTCAAATCTTAATGTGTGTCTGAAAATATTGGTGATTCAATTCTCAGCCTGTATTTTCAAGCTTCTTCCATACATATTTCTTATAAATATTAAAGTAAGGGACATAGGATTTTGAATTCCACATCATTGCAGATAACCAGGGAAATTGCAAACTGCTTCAAGAATTATTTGGAAACTCTATATGATGATCTATGAATTTATTCATATGCATTTTATACTCCTCTCATTTGAAAGAAATTTTTAGTCTGTACCATTCTCTCCTTTGATCTTGAAGTTACATTCTTACAGATTAAAAGGGATAGACCCCTTCTTTCGTGTTCACCTTTCTTATCGTTATACTCCATCAAAATGAGAAAGCCATAAAAAACTCCATACTCTAGCCAAAGCATAGAAAGCTTTGTGTCTGGGGTTCATCAAATGTGGTGATTGACTCCTAGCACAGTGATAGTCTCACTCTCCTCCTGGCACTGGCCAGTCATGTCATTCATTTATCCCTGTTTCCAAATACTTTTCCATTTCTTCTCAGCAGCAAAAGGAGAGGAGAGGAGAGGGGAGAGGAGGGGAGAGGAGTGGAGGGGAAGGGAGGGGAGGGGAGGGGAGGGGAGGGAAAAAGGAAAGACACAGGCCATGCTTTTTTATAGAATGAATAAAGAGAAAGAATAAAGAAGTTACAGACATTTATCGGAATACCACATATCATTGAATCTTTATAACAACTATATGGCCTCCTTATTTCCATGTTACATATCCAGAGTTCAGGAAATTGATTGCCAGAGGGTCTGTACAATATACCAAAGGTCACATATTCGCAAAGTAGGAAACTGAAGGACCAGGCCTTAAGGTCAGATCTGACAGATTCCAAAGCCCAAACATTTTCAGTTTGTCTTCCTTGGGATGTTTTCATTTGCAAATGGAACAGTAGAGAATTCTCTCTTATTTGCCCAACTGTATAGGTCATGCCTTTGCATGTTTGGGTGACATTGCTACCCACCAGGGGAGCTGCAAACAGCATTAATTTGGGGTAACATTGATCAAAAAATGTCACAGAAGTTTGTGTGGCACTGTCTCCTCAACATTCTCCATCCCATTCCAAGAGTCTAAGGGAATTACAGTGGCAAGAACTACTAAGAGTCAGCCATTGGTGAGAGCTGAGGGGGAATGAAAGAGTTGAACTAGAGTCAAAATAAGTGCAGTGGTAAAATCCTGCAGACACAGTGCGAACTGTGCATGAGTACCCATTGAGAAAGCAAGTGCTTGAATTACTGCCACAGTGAGGGCATCAATAGTGGTCAACTGGCCTCAGCCAAAGAGCTTGGGAAGACAGTTTTGAAGCCAAGATAGGTAAAATGACATGTGTTCTTTGATCTAATCCTGTCTCCCCCCTCGCAGACTGGATTAATAGAAATGTAGACCATTCTCGATTACTTGAAAGCCCAAACTTGTGGAGGGTGAAGGTATGATTGAAGTTTTCAACTGAACTGCACTGACATTGTGATAGCTGAAAATGATCACAGAGTATTGAAAACTCCCACAAATGTTAAGGAGACAGAAAGAAAGATTAACTATCACAGTTGGAAATAGGCAATGGAGAAAAAATTAAACCTCATATTTGTATCCATGAAACTTCTGCTTCTACAGGAAATTATTATATTATTATTTGAATCCTCAGAACTAACCAGTGAAGTGGATATAATGTTTTTGCCACTTTTCAGGCCGGGTAGTTAACATCCAGAGAGGTAGAAGAATTTGCCAAATTAACAGTTAATAAGTGACAGAACCCTGGCCCTAGAATCTGCTGCAAACAATTATTCTATGCTGCTCTAAAAGAGGTTAACAACACACAACCCCAAACAGTTTTCCAGTTTGAATTGTGTTTAGATTTACTGTGCTCAATTATATACTCTTATACAATGATCAGAGAAGGTATCTACAAAGAAATTTTTATCTTCCTGGAAAATATGTGTGATGTAAAAAAGAAGAAATACATAATATCACACATATTATCACATAATGTGAATATAACATACCCTCACACAAATGAATTCACAGAACTATATCATCTTCTCAACATTTTTGACAGTGGCAGGTAGGGCAGGAGATACGAGTTATCAGTGACTTTTTCCGGCTTTTTTATACTATGTTTTATAATTTCCCTAAATTAATTTTGCATAATTCTATAATTGTAAAAATTAAGAGATCTGGGAAAAAGCCTATTCTGCTAGTCTGCCGTACATTTCTGTGCATATTGTATAAGAAGTGTCATAATGTATTTGTTTAGCTTATTTTGAGATTGGCCCAAGTACCTAAAACGTTTTAAAGCTTAGATGTTTATAAAACAAGTAATTTAATCCAGTAAGAAAGATTTTTAAAAGTGTCTGAGTATTTTTCAATTGTTTGAGATTTAAAACTTCCATTTCACCTCTTAAAACCTAATGCCACTTTCTGACATCGTCATGATGCCAACTTCTTATGTATGTTTATCTTAATCAGTTATTTCAATTATTCATATGATTTTCAGTAAATAATCTTACTCTATAGAGTTCTGTGAGAGTTAAAGGAGGTGTAAATTCTATCAGCAGCTTTTTCTAAAGTGACAAAACATGAAAGCCAAACTTACAAAATCCCCAATACTACAAGATAAAATTGTAGCCTTCAGTTGAGCGTGAAGTGAACACACATTTCACATTTCACACACTGAATTACACGAAATCCATTCACACACGTCACAACCACACAGTAAAATTACTGGGGCCTCTTGCAGCTGTCTGGAAGCCACTGAAAAGTGATTACAAGTCAGAAAGCAGTGAGAGGCACTGAAAGTCCTTTTGTTTTAATGCCACATTCCTTTCCAGGGTCCCTCAGATTCGTTCTCCGTTATGCAGTATGTTTGATAAAGATTCTCCTGCATGTAATACCCCTCTGAGGTAAGAAAAGGCATACGGTAAGAACCATTTGTACAATCGTCTTATTGCAAATTCCCCATGCAATTCTGCTGACAGGACAGAACATCTGGCAAAATCATTTTAATTAGACCAATCTATCCTGCAAAGCATGCTTCAGGAAGGCAGCAGACCTTGAGATCCATGGGTGTTCAGACAGCACTAGGAAGGGGAGTGCTCAAGCAAAGTATTCTGAGAATAGAGAGAATTGAAACACACCTGGCTTCAAACTCCTGGGCTCAAGTGATCCTCCTGCCTCAGCACCCTGAGTAGCTGGGACTACAGGCGTGGGCCTCTGTTCCCTACTTTCCCTGAGCATTTTTGAAGGATTTGACATCACAGTATTAATGGATAGAGAAGGTCCTAAAAATTATCAAATTATATACAAAGGAGGTAATAGTATTATTATATACTATTATATTATATACTCCCCTGTCCTGGATCCTGTATGAAACAGTAACTAGAGGTTAACTTTAAGCTTGTGCCAAGAAGTAGTTTTATTAAAACAGTAGTTGTCTGAAATATGCTTCTTCGGGGAATTTTCTCTCCATGACCCGTGCTCCATTTCCTTTGACCTCTATGCAGTCTTTTCTCCTTCCAGTTTTACGGTCTCATTAATGACACTATTTATTTATTTTTCCTTCTCCTAAGGAATTCCTAATTTAATTATATGACTTTCTGCATAACCTTTGTATTTAAAGATGGGAAGTATAAAGGCTAGCTACAGAAATTTGCTGTGCTATATTTAAATTAATCCAATATAATTTAGTCTTAGGGAACTCAGTTACTAACAGATAACACATCATATATTTTCTCTTCTCTCTAGTGTATAGCTTTTGTTAAATTTCAGGTTGGAAAAATGATTCAGGAAAACAAAATTCAGAGAATAATGCTTATTTAGAGGAGACATTAGACAGATTTGGGGAACAGAATATATTAAATAAGAGAAAAGAGTAAAGTAGCTCATAGTTTGTGAGTAGAGAAAATGAGGGCATTGTGAAACCCTTATTCTACAAAGTGTGAAAGCAAATGCTACCTCATCCTACATATGATTAAGGGTGAGAATTAATTGGATTAAAATTTTGTACAGTATACTGGAATTTCGAGGAAAAATGGGAAGCAGCTCACAGGATGAAAAGTTGATGGTAAAATTGTTACAACAGGACATGTTAAGTGTATATGACTATATTTTTCAGACACTAAAACTCTAGTATTGCAAACCAAATAATAAAAATTAATGTGTATGCATCTTACAGTCTTCAACAGTTCAATAGCCTGTCATAAGAAAGACAAAGAAAAGCTGGTTTGCCCACTATGATGACAACTTTTTCTAGATGATTGAAGAAACAAATACCCACTAAACATAAAACATTTCTGAGAACAGCTGGCTAACTTTATAGCTCTCTGTAACTCACATCTTTTAACACCAAGATTTAGTGTCTGAAGACTTATAAAAAACGATGAATAGGCAAAATATACAACAGAGAACACGGCCTAGTCTTGTAGCAGATCAGTCCATTCATCCATAAAGCACTTTATGATCCATGTAAACAATTTAGGCTCATCCAGGATCTTAGAGTTTAGCTAAATGCAACTAACTGAAATCTATGACTCTCCAGTACTCTGGCTCTGGAACTTTAAAGGTTCAGTATAAGGTCTGGGTAGTATTTTAACCTTAACATTAAATCTTAAATTATTACCTGTTGAACATTCTCCTCCTCTACCTATTTCCTAGTTTCTTGAAATTCTTTGTTTTCTAGCCATCTTTTCACCAAGGAAGTAAGCCAAATTAAAGGTTTTCATTTCTACTTGTCCCTGTAAAAGTAATTGCGAGATGGGGTTATATTAAATTTCTTGATGGATGACTTCTGAAATGTTTGTGTGCTCATTCCCCTCTGATTTCAGAACCAATTACTCCCCCCACACATTTTTTTCTTTTTTTCTGTAGGACAGACAACTTGACATAGATTCTGCATAAGGGGGACATTCTATATCCCATGATCTACTAGCCCAATGTTTATCTACATTCTATATCCCATGATCTACCACCCCAATGTTTATCTACACTTTTTAAGAATTTCAACATTTTAAGAATTTCAACATTGAAAGTCCCAGAGGAAAAAAAATGTTATTATCTAGCGTTAAAAACTCCATAACCAAGCAAGGCAGGAATATCAATGGCAAAAGATGGCTTAGCATTTAGTTTATGAAGGATTAGCTGATTTTGACATAAAGAGATATTTTTTAATGTTCACCTGAAAAATAAGATGCTGAGGAAAGAGTAAGGTGAGTGACGACAGAGTTACTGCCTGGACACTGGAAAGTATGGGAATAGAAATTCAAGTGCAAAATACCTCCAGACCACCCACCACCCACTCCATCCACCAAGAATAAAGCAGCCTCTGAGGAGGGCACAAAGCCCATGGACAGCCAGGAGCTAAGAAGAGAAGTCTGTTGCAATGACCCAGACTTGAACTTAGAGGAGATAAAAGGAGAGCTGTAATAACTACATTCAATCACTGCAACTCCAGAGAACATTAGTTAACAGAAAGCATCATCAACATCAGGTTTCCTGAAGAGTTTTTATAACCATGTCCCTATAAACATAGGATGATCTTCAGACTGAATGTTGGTCTCTGGCTGGTTAGCTGGTTAATGCCACATGGTTGTATAAACTGAACAAAGAGACAAAAATGGATGAAGGAAAAGATGGAAAGAGAGTCTAACTGTGAAAGGAAAGTATGAAAAAAGAGTGAGAATACAAGAAATAGGAGAGAAATAAGGACGAAAGATGGAATATGATACAGTCTGGGTAGAAAAAATTGAAAACTTTTTCATAAAATAAAGTAAGTGAAGAAAAAATATCTTTAGTTAGCTGTAAATATTAATATAATTGAGTCTCAAACATTTAATGAAAAAATATCTAAAAATGATCTCTCTTATTTTCACCTGTTCTCATTCCTATTTTATGCTCTCAGTCTGCAGTTCTACTGGTTGGGAAATTTCACAATTTTTATTTATATTGCTTTAATGTCTTAACAAGAAACACAGTAGAAAATCAAGCTTTTTTTTTTTTTTTACCCAAAAGTATGTTCAAGATGAAAGTACATGCATTTCCTAATGCAACAAGAACCCCATATACATTTGAAAGGAATTGCTTCAGAGCTTGTTGGTTTTCTTAGGCAAAAACAGAAGGAGGACATAGCATGGTGGTGTTATTTTCCATAAGCTTAGCAGGTTTTAACTGATGGTTTCAACTGTCTGCATCACCAGAAGTGGTGTGAGCAGCTCAGAGCTCAGGGGCTCAGTGGTGTGTCCTGTGACCTAAAAAATTAAGTGACTGACTGTCATCAACTGTCGACTTTCCAGACTTGAATGCTGTCAACGGAAGACATGGCTGAAACTCATACAACCGAACCTCCCTGAGCCGCTTGTTAAAGTCCAAATTCTTGGTGCCATTCAAGAATTAACGGCTCTGAATCTAGAGTGAAGGAAAATTTGACTTTCTAGCAAAGGTGATTCTAAATTCAGGCTTGTTTGAGAACCACTGCAAAAAGGAGCAATTATTAGACTACAAATCACATATGATTTTGGTTTTCCATTTTGAGTGACATATGACAAAAAAAGAAATATTATGTATGCCGTGGGACCTGTTGCAACAGACTTATAAAACTTACACTAAGAGATGTTTTAAAATTGTGTATCAGTCATTTGATCACCTTCAAGAAATTTATACAGAAGCCAAATAGTATCCTACGGGAAGAAGCAGACTTGAGAAAAAACCAACACTGACTGCTTATTGAGGGAACCAAGAACCAAGTGTTCACTCTAGCCACCTGTGAACAATTCGTGTTTGACATGTGACACAGAAAGTGGCTAGCACCTCTGTAGATTTATGGTGATAGAGATCATAATTCATTTCCTTAGTGTTTAGTCCAATCGAAGTTAAATTCTCAATTATTACTTTATGACCTTTGACATAGAAGCCAGTTGAATGCTATTAATAGAAAATGCTTCCTTTGGTGGTGTAATATGCAGACATAGGAGATGAAGGACTTAAGAAATAAGAGGTGCTTTTATTGTGGTGTCTCATATGGCATAAAAAAATAAAAAATAAAATCCTGGATAATCTAAGAATTGATTAAATGTTTTCTAAATTCTTCCAAAGCTACCAGCTACTCTGTAAAGCTTTTTAGATTGGCACCACAGGAGCTAACTGGCTTAACTCTTTTTAAAGTTCATCACTTGTAATTAATAGACTAAAAGACTGGGAACGTAAAGATTTTCAGGTCTGAAGTTTATAATCCCTTGGATTTTAAATGTGCTTGACCTCTATCGTCTCCTTCCCTATAAACACCACATTCACGCAGAAATGGAAGATAATTCGCCACTCATATTGACTAGCTCTGAATCCCAGTATATAGTTGAGATTTTTTATCCTTAGATATTTTCAGCCTCTTTGTCCCAGAGTTTGTTAATTCCTACGAAGCACTACCATCACCCTCTTCAACAAAATATTAATTCTTATCTGTTTTGCTGTGGTCTCTGAGGACAATAAAGATTGACTAAGGCCCTCTATTTTAATAGTCTCATAAAACATTTGCTACAGTTGACACTGTCATAGTGACTGAGAGTCTTAGGTACAAAGATTTCTCTACATTTTTACAATATAAATAATCTTATGATATACATTCACATTTCATTAGAAAATAAAATGTAAGGCTAAGTAGCAATTTTTAAAACACAGACAATCTAACATAAATATCAGGTAAAATGTAATACATTAATATTAATATATGTAAACTAATTTTAGGTTACCCTTTTAATAATAAATAAAATATAATATTAAAATAATAAATATAAGAAGGGCATGTGCTTATTGAGCGTGTGCTATGTGCCAAACACTACTTTACTTTATATCTATCGACTTATTTTATACTAAATTTGTAACAAAAACACTTGTTTAGACAGGCTAAGGAATTTGCCCAAAGTTATTATGCTGCTTGGTAGTGAAATTCAAATTTAGTTGTGCTTCACTATAAAACATATCTTCTTAATATTATACAAACACCTCGCTTCCTCAACTTTGAATGATTTTGGTAAACATATATTACTGTGTTAGAATGATGTTTACCAAGGATTAATGTTGGCTTGTATCCATCTGTGGGTAAAGGGAAAAGATCCTGTATTAGTGGTCAGAAGACCTACCTTGCTCATGTCATTTATTCTGTTTTATGACCTGAAAGTCACTTGAGGCCTCTCAGCTTTAGATTCCTCTTATAAGATGATGAGCGTGGTCAAGGGGTGGTATTATCTAGCCTCACTTGCCTTATCTATGACGCTGCTGTGAAGGTTGTCGAATGTCCATCCAAAGACATGTCCATCCAAAGACATGTCCATCCAAATGCAAAATAACTTGTTATAACCACCATTATTCCACATGGCAAAACAAGCTTAGTTGCTGACTTAATATTTCATAGAAGAAGAGACAGATCTAAGTGAACCATCCCTAGAAATCTGAATGTTCTCATGACATAGAATGATGTCTGATGCCAGAGAAACTAGCATGCAAGAAATTTATTTATTTATTTATTTATTTATTTTTTTTTTTTTTTTGAGACGGAGTCTGGCTCTGTCGCCCAGGCTGGAGTGCAGTGGCGCAATCTCAGCTCACTGCAAGTTCCGCCTCCCGGGTTCACGCCGTTCTCCTGCCTCAGCCTCCCGAGTAGCTGGGACTACAGGCGCCCACCACTACGCCCGGTTAATTTTTTATATTTTTAGTAGAGACGGGGTTTCACCATGTTACCCAGGATGGTCTCGATCTCCTGACCTCCTGATCCGCCCCGCCTCGGCCTCCCAAAGTGCTGGGATTACAGGCGTGAGCCACCGCGCCCGGCCGCAAGAAATTTTTACACTGAGAAGAAACCACCCGAAACATTTTTGAGATTTAAGACTTTTGGATTATTTAGTCCTAGAACACAAAGCATCAAAAAAATACAATTTTCATTTATTATTGGGAATAAAAATTAAACTGTTCTCATTCTGTTCGCAAAATTTTGCGTATATCGCGACAGATCCACTCAGCCAAGTTTGCATTCTGGTACCATGTAATTGAGGTGTCCTGTGTCTATTTTAAAATTGTGTTTTGATTATTGCTATATAAAATGTAGCCCTGGCTACCACGTTGACCATAAAGCACACTCTCTGCACACACACACATACACACCCTAATCTGACATCAAATGCATCCTTGAAATCTGGCAGGTTGGATTTGTTATCAAAAATGTCTTCAAGGGATGAGACTGGCATTTTTTATCAGAGCTATTAGGTTTAAGCTATTTACCAGCAAATATCCCCAAAAAAGCAACTTTTCAGATTTTATATAAAAGAAAATATCTACTTTGGCTTGTCTGTGACAAGTTACCAGTCAGTATGATTACATGCTCAGCAAGAACATAGCAAAAGAATCTCCAATATCATCCCTGCTATTGTCAGGAAACATCTTTACTTTGTCCTTGCTATTGTCAAGAGTCTCCAATATCAAAATTTTTAAAGTTCCCAGATCCTTTTACGTGCTACTGGTAGGAGTGTAAACTTTTAAACTCCTTTTGGAAAAAAAATTGACAGTATGTGTTAGGAGCTTTTAAAAAATATTAATTCCCTTTGACCTGTTGATAAAAGACCATGAGATCCACGGAGAAAAAAGAGCTTTATTTTCTATAAAAAACAATCCATTGATTGAGGAGGCACAACTTCCAATATAAGTGAAAGTGTGCTTTCCCGAGAACAAAGGCTTAAATAGGAAAAGCTCCCAATCAGGTCTGTTTATGTAAATAAAGGACTCAAATTTGTTTCATTCTGATTGGTCAAAATAGCCAAGCCCTGATTGGGTGGTTTCCAAGCCCCAAACCAGAAGAATCTGTCAGATGTTTATTTCAAATGGCACTGGGGTGAGATGTGGGGGTCTTCGCCACAGTTAATCTTGGCAGCTACAACAGGAACTGTTTTGGCTTGTTGTAGGAAGGGAGATCCTGTGATACGTTTACAATATCTTTCCAAGAACACAGTGTGTGACCGGTCCCTCACTTAGCCATGGCCTCCTGATTCTGTTTTAACTTTGAGCACCTCATTTAGCCATGGGGAGTTCATTTTGTCTGTTGGCCAGGGACATATCTTAACAGACCAAGTAATGACCCTTCTCAAAAATTAGCTTACGAAAATAATCTACAGTATAAGAAAAATGATAAAAAAGAAAGGAAAGGGAGAAAAGGAGGAAAAGACAGAGAAAGAAGGTTATATTGGTCATAGTCAAAGGGTTTAGGTGGTTTGGGGGTTGTTTTGCATTATTTACAATATAAGAACTGAAAAAAACCTAATCACAGGAGGAGATAACTATGTAATCTACGGCACAGAAACTCAGAAGACTTACTAGGCAATCACTAAAATATCTTTATAAAAAATTTATTATAATATGAAGAAATATTTTCTGTAATATTAAATTTCAAAAACTAGATGCCAAATTAAATCAAATAGGAAGAATCTATCCATAAAATAGGAGTTAGAAAAGCATAGTTTTCATTACTTTTATGGGTTAGCTGGAGTGATTTTTTTTCTAGTTCTCTTGATTTTTCAAATAATCCATAATAATGATGAATTGCTTGATTAACAATTGTGTATGCAGATTAACACTTAATTTTTTTTATAAATGATAGAAATTTTTCAATTTCTAAATGTAGGCTACCTACTTATATCACCTTTAAAGGTTTAAGAAAAAAATAGATTTTTTTCCTAATTTTAATTCTGAAATGTACATGTTGTCTAAAACAGTGAAGTTTATTTCTTCTAATAATAATAATAATAATAATATGTCTTCAGTAGAGAATAAATGAAAATACAGAAAAGTAGAAGAAAGAAGAAAAAAAAATCAATGGTACCCACAGTGAGAGATAGCTATTTTTGATATATTAACGTATCCTTCTGTTTTTTTTTCTGTGCACTTTTCCTTTTACTTGTTTTACATAGTTATAGTATAGATGGAATTTTATATTTTGTGTTTTTCTCTATGAAATTATTTTTAAAGTTACCTAAAATCAGTAACACAATAGACACGTAACCTAAAATTAACATAATTCCTGGAGCTGAAATAGACAAAAATACCAAGAAAAGAACTTAAGTATGCTGAATCCAATGAAAGTTGCTCCCTGAAGAATATGAAATTACTAATAAGTGGAGGATAATCTTATAGAACAAGTTTCTGACACACAGTCGAGTATTTCATGTCTTAACAAAGTCAACAAATTCACAAGAAAACAAATAATGACACCATAAGAAGACTGGAATATGTTTTTACTGTCTAAGGAATCCTCAGTGGACAGTTCTGGGCCTGGTATTTTTCTTATATCCACTTTAACCCACGTTTGTGGTGTGGATACGAAAGCATGTTGTAAGAAGTAAACCCAAAAAAAAAAAAAAAAAAAAAGGAGAAGAGGAGGAAGAGGAAGAGAGGAGGCGAAAGAAGAAAAAGAAGAAGGGAAGGAAGAGAGGGAAGGGGAAAAGAAGAAAAGGAAGCAAATAAGTTGGTTTTCTAAATGGTGCAACAGAACAAACTTAATTTTCTGTAACAACGCTTGCTGAGTGAGTTTCAAATTCTGCTAGACACAATAATCACCTGGAAAACTCGTTAAGATACAGATCCCTGAGCCTTGTCACCAACAATGAATGCTCAGTTGTCGTGAGGTAAGCCCAAAAATCATTTTTTACAAGCACTTGGGTTGGTATCCAAGGCAGTCCATTGGTACTCTGAAATTAATTAAACAAATTGAAGTCAATCCCTTCACACCCAACTAAATTAGAGTCCAGAGACCAAGGTTGGGGGGGGGGGTGGAAACACACACACACACACACACACACACACACACACACTCAGATCACAAATGCCCACTTCAAGAATGATTTTGAGACTAATTTTACTAGTACCTGCTGCTGCTCGCCAACCCTGGCATAATGTCTCAAATGCCAATGAGATTTCTTTCAAAACAACTCATCTAACTTTTCTCTTTCCCTGTAAAACATTTACCTTCTCCTTTGTTCTTCAGACATACCAAAAGCCACCACAGTCTGTGCATATGTCCCAAATTGCAATTCTAATTTTTGTATATTTCCAAATGAAACTTTTGCTTGGAGATTTGCCTTTATATTTTTATTTGATATTGACATTATGAAGACTGGTTTTTGAAAAATACTCACTTAAGATTGAAGAATAATTTCTTTTCAAATAAAATGTATCTTCTAAGGATATAAAGCATGTTTAAGAGGGGGATAACCAGTCTAATCAAAGTATCTAAAATGAAAATTGAGGAAGAAGAAAAATATCTAAATGAAATTTTTAGCTAAGGTAGCATAAACAATGGCAGACATTAACCAGGAGAAGGAGGAGGAAGAAGAGAAGGAAAAGAAGGAGAAAGGGTTGATAAGTCTAGAAATTATAATAAGAATGCAAGATAGAGAACCAGAATAATTGTTACAGCTTCACATACATACATGCTTGCTTCTCAGAGAGTATGGGTAATAAGCTCAGGACACTTAAACTTTTAACATGTTAATAATAACATATACATACCACTCAGATATGTTTTGAGAGGCTTGGGGCACATAATTAGAATATGGCCCCAACATCTCACACAGTATATAAACAATAAATACTTGGTAGAAAAAGTGGAACACTGGTATTGTGCGTCATCTATCTGTCTGTCGATCTATCTGGCTATTAGTCAGTATCTCTGAGAGATAAAAATATGGATGAATGAAGCCAGAGACAAAGAAAAAGGCAGGGACAGTGGAAGGAAAAGAAAGAGAGAGATGGAGAGATAGAGCCAGAAAGAGAGAGAGAGAGCCTCCATGCACAAAAATAATTAATCATCAACAGTAATATAGTCAGGAAAATATAAATGACCCAATGTGACTCAAGAGATGTTAGAAAAACTTCAGTATAGCAACATATATAGGCAAAACTGAAAGGTTCATCTAAAATTGTATTCTTAATATGTTAATCACAGCTACCTCTGATGGCATTAATTGATTTGAGAGTAAGAGGTGATTGTAATAAAGTGATTTTCATACTTTAATTTGTATGATTTACAATGGTAATATATTTATTTCATTGGTTCTGTAGCAACAAAAAATCAAGTAATAATAAGATAGTACAGGTAAGAGCATGTAAATCACTCTTGATCTCTCAGCCCAATATAAATGAACCCAATAAACATTTTGTTGCCTTTCCCTGTTTTAAGTATATCATTTGATGTAATTTTCATTCATTAGATTTCACCACATTATTTATACATTTTAATAAATTTTTTAATGCCTGCATACCATTATATCATATATGTATGCTCAATAATTAACATATCTCTTATTCATTTTGAGATTTTATAAATTATTAACTTTCTTTTCCAACAATTTGCTCTTTTACAAGGTTGAGGAAATCACCAGTGTAAATTGTACTGTGGACTTAATTCTAGCTAAAATGAAAAAATAATGCAAAGGAAATGAAAAAATGACCATAATATCTTAGAATTTAAAACAGTGATGAGACAGTACTAGATGCAATATGACTTGTGTTAAGGTTTTATAAGAATTAACATTAAAATCAAAAAGTTATTAATATAAGCCCATTTCCACAGATCCTGAAAGGAAGCATGACTTAGTAGAGACAGAAAGTTGAACAAAATAAAAATAAAATAATGTCAATTTAATCACAAATATCCACCAAAAAAGCAATTTGATAATAGAGCAAATATTCTAAAAAATGTTTTTGTTTTTGTTTTGTTTGGCTTGGTTTGGTTCCGTGTGATGGATGGTTATGGATGGTATAGGAAGAAATGAATCTACCCTAGAATAAATAAATACAAGAGTAGCACAAATCTTAAGACTAGTGTCAAGAAAGTCAAAGACAAATAGAAAAAAAAGTCTCTTACACTAAAGTGAGGGATAATTAACAGAAATTTTCTTATCTACATGTTAAGAGGCTGCACATAAAAAGAAAGGTTTGGCCCATTGCTTGGGGCAGATGGTTAAATACTAACAAAAAGCAGAATTATTTTTTTCCAGACAGGCTGTCAAGGGAATAATTGTTGCAACGGAAAGCGTAGAACAGACATGGTTAAAAGGAAATTGGATCCCAAGATACGGAAAATGATAAGGGGTAAACACCCAATCTTTTAATGAGGTTGAGTCTCTAGACCCATACAAATTACTTCTTAGGATATGGAGAAAACTTTGAAAATGTGATTGCTATTCTATTTCTGGTTATCTCTGGGGAATCAAGTGAAAGAGTCAAGTGACACTTGGGCAAGTGTTACATAGTTCAAAGGAAAGATTTCTGGTATACAAACTGGCTTAATATAGAATCCTTACAAAGTTCTAGAATTATTCTTGAGCATTTAGAAAAACACGTGGTTAGGGGATTCTATATGTATACTAAAAATAAAAAAATGAGGTTGGAAAAAATAAGGTTACTATACTGGAATAAAAAAACAATGTTCTAGATACAGCAGAATATATTTTAAAATGGGGATCTGATAATATCTCCAACAATATTCTTGCTTACAGGGTGAGGGAATATGGCTAAGATGAAAGAAGAATTGGTCATATCTTCAACCTTACTCAAGAAGCCCATATATAGCAAAGCCTCTAATTATGTGCCCCATGATTCTATTATTAATCATATCTTCATCAACATTTATATTAAATGGCATAAAAAGAACCTTGGAAAGCAAGTTTATCAACTTCATAGTTGACAAAAATCCTGGTAGAATACCTAATTAATTTACTTATCAAAGACTAATTCAAAAAGATCAACAGGCTGGAATAATGGGACTATATTTTTCAAACGAAATCTAATATGCATAGAATCTTATACTGGGTTAATAAAACCTAATTAATACATGAAAGACAAAGTTAGAGAAACTTCATTTAAGAGCAGTTAGGGAATAAATAATCAGAGGAATTAGTTGACCATTCATTCACCATCTAAACAAGTCAAAGTATTAGGAGGCCAATTTTAGTGACAGCACGATCTGTACTCTCTAGTCCAGTTTTACCAGCAATTAAGTTGATATTTTTATTCCTGGTTTATACCTGTATCAATGTCTTGATTGAATCAGAAATCATCAGGGGTGGGAGGGAAGGCTGGGCAGGGGAGGGTAGGCATTTTGATGAAACCCAAATAAGAGGTTTATATACATAATTACAATTTTCCTCTTATGATTCTCATTTTACAGATGAGTAACGTGAGGATTAGAGAGTTCACATACCTAATGGAGTCAACCCATAAGTAAAAGGAGAATTTGAACCTGAATCCGATGGACTCTAACACCCCATAACTGTACGTCTACTCCAACCCTCCTGGATGAGAGAGGTAAGGGCCTTCTCATACCTGGTAGAACTTGTTTCAAGAGAAACACTGGCTAAGAAAAGGCTGGCCACAGAAAGCAGGGAGGGGTGGGGCAAGGGCAATTGGCATTTGAAAACTATGAATAGGAGTAATGGCAAAAGAAAGTGAAAAAGCTGACTCTGAAAGAAGGAGGCACAGAAAGGACAAGGAAACTGATATTCATTATTTCAAGTGATGGAAGAGAGATTAAATGTATTCAGTGTATAAACGGAAAGCTGACTTCAGTGTCGAACAAGAGACAAGTCTCTTCTCTCATGAAGATTCCACTCTGGAAAGGGAAGAAAGTAAACAAGCAAACAAATAATGAATAAGTTAATTTGTGATATTGATAAATGCTATAAAACGATGATGTGATTGATAAAGTATAATCAAAGGTGGGAGAATATTTTAGATAGTTTTTCAAGAAAGGCTTCTCTGAGATGACAGTTGACAACTAAGTTGAGTACTTAATGACAAAACACAGCCACTAAATCTATGAAAAAAGAATTTCAGTCAGAGCAATACCAAGGACAAAGGCCCTTAGGTTTGAGTGAGCTTGTTGTATAGAATGAAATTTATGATGGATAAAGAATTAAGAGCTTTAACTGAGAGGATAAGGGCATGTCTACTCTAACATTATTGATTTTAAAATAAGTCACTTCCTATTTTTTAAAAAATAGATGCAGCAGAATTCACTGTTACAGATGTAAAATGTTCAACATCAACTGTCAATGGAAGAGTAATGCATTTTGTGTCAAGTTTTTTAATTATTATTTTAATTGACAAAAATTGTATATATTTATGGAGTATAATATGATATCTTTAAATATGTATATATTGTGGAATAGCTATTTAATAAATCACATGAATTAATATATGCATTACCTCACATACTTACCTTGTTTTTCGTGGTAAGAACACTCAAAATCTACTCTCTTACCAGTTTTCAAGAATACAATGCATTGTTATTAACTATCGTCCCCATAATATCCAGTGGATCTCTTCAACTTATTACTCCTGACTAACTAAAATTTTTATCCTTTGACCAATATCTCCAAAAACCCCCCTCCTTCCACTCAGATCTCAATCTTTTGGTAGCAACCATTCTACTCTCTGCCTCTAGGAGTTGAACTTTTTAGATTCCAAATTTAAGTAAGATCATGTGGCATTTTTCTTTCTGGTATAGCAAGTTTTTAAGGTCTACTGAGAAATAGTTTGTCACTTATAAACCAAAAGAGAGTATTAGCCTCACCCTTCCGATGATTTTCCTTAAGTAAGAGAAAATCCAATATGCATGTATTGATTATGATGATAAACATTTTGTCCAAAATTTATTTTCAAAACAGATGGAAACAGTGTTTGATTACTGTTCCCAGCCTAGGCTCATTCACTGGGGGAACACAATACAGATAATCGGGAACCCTCAGTTCTTGTTCTCACTCGTCACAAGGTGTGATGTTAATCAGGTTGCAATGTCTCAGAGCCCCAAGTTTCTTTGTTTGTAAAAAAAAAAAAGAAGATTATAACATCTATCTAACGAACCTGACATAAGTGAAGAACATAATGTAGACAATGATACAAAGATGATCTGAAAATGTTTTGTTATTAGACCAGACAGATATCTTAATACAAACTTTAGCATATGCTTTATTGAATGAAAAATAAATCTTTGCAATTTTCTACAATTTGTAGAGGCTTTGAAGCCCCAAGCATTCTTCTAACAAAGAAGAAACAGAGCCTAAAGCAAGTTGGAACATAAGTGAAATACTGAAAAGAAAGGAGTAGTGAATGACAGTTGTCTAGAGGAATAAGAGAGAGAAGTGGAGCTGAGGGACAATACAGTGGCAAAGAAACTGTAATTTAGAACTTTGTAAAATGTGAGCAAGGACTGCACCACAGCAATAGATCTCTTAACAACTTTTCAATGTTTACTAAAAGGCAAAAATGATCCAGATACAGTACACTTTGGGTATAACTCTGCCAAAGTTTCCTTTTTGTCTGTAGAGACAGAAAATTTATGAATTTCTATAGTTTACCACATGTTTATTCCTTACCAAAATGATAACATATAATACTGCAGATAAGACACTGGGACCCTTTTTGTCTCACTAAGAAAAAAAAAAAAAAAAGCCTGGGCAAAACGGCGAGACAACATTGCTACAAAAAATTAGCTAGACATGGTGGCATGCACTTGTGGTCCCAGCTACTTGGGAGGCTGAAGCAGGGGAATCGCTTGAGCCCAGGAGTTTGAGGCTGCTGTGAGCTATGATGGTGTTGCTGCACTCTACCTTGGGCAACAAGAAAGACCCTGTCTTAAAAATGAAAAATTGAAAGAGGTTTATTTCAGAAAGAACAGAATGGCTATGTAGTTTATGAAGATATTTTATCATCTTCCAGGCTCTACATGTACAGAAAAGTAAAAATTATAAGTTGAGAAATGCCAGGAGACAGACAAATGCATAAACAAATAAAAGATCCATACTTTAGAGGGTAACAGAGACTTAAGAAAGTTAAAGGCAAACAAGACTTGCAAATGCAATGAGTTCCCAAAGGCTGGTTAGTGAAGACTTATGACCTACTTTAGGTAGCTCATGTTTATCTTATACTAAAGTCTTCACACACTACATGCCCCCTAAACATGTATCTTAAAGTTTAGGTGGGAAATTAGTGCAGAAAATACTTCTCTACCCCAAATTTTCTATCCCCCCCTCACCCTCATTACCCCTGCCCATATGAAATTGCCTTAAATTCTGTCATTTATGTGTCTTTCCTTGGCTCAAACTTTATATACTTTTAAAAATATATAAATAGGACAAAGAGCATCTTCTGGATGTTC
This sequence comes from Homo sapiens, assembly GCF_000001405.40. Classification (NCBI taxonomy): domain Eukaryota; kingdom Metazoa; phylum Chordata; class Mammalia; order Primates; family Hominidae; genus Homo; species Homo sapiens. Next base: position 117,146,734 of record NC_000005.10, on the reverse strand, counting down.
TGCCCTGTGAAATTTTTGTGAAATGAATGAAAACAAGATAGAGGGCAGTTTTGGGAGGGGGTTGGAGGAAAGTTCAGGTACTCACGGGAGACTAGTGTCGAGAGTATATGCAGCCAGTACCAGGGCTCCACAAAAAATGAGTCTGAGTAAAGCTGCATTTAGCATTCTTTATGAGCTTTATGAGGTTCTTGGACATGACAGTGAGGCAGCAAAAAGAAAGGATACTGTAAGGAGGTTTAGATATGTCAAAGCATAACTTCTTCAATGTCATAATCATTCTCCAGGCAGGATCACAATAGCCTCATACCATAAAGAAATAAATAATTACAAAATTGGTATAAAATTCTCATCATCCAATGTTGACAACAGATATAAAAAAATTGAATTTGAATAAAGAGAAAATTAAACAATGGGTGATAAATCATGTATCTTTAAAGGTAAGAAAAACTTATTCTATATGCTACCTCATTAATTTATAAGTTATGATTTAGGAGCCAGAGGAGAGAGTATCAGTGCAGTTTTTTTTTCTTCTGTTCTAAGCTAATTTTTGAAAATTATTACAGTTGACCCTTGAACGACGCAGGAGTTAGAGCCGCCAACCCCGTACACACCCAAAAATCTGGGTATAACTTTTGATTCCACCAAACGAAACCACTAATAGTCTACTGTTGACCAGAAGCCTTACCAATAACATAAACAGTCAATTAACACATATTTTGTATGTTATATGTATTATGTATACTGTATTACTACTATAACCTAGAGAAAAGAAAATGTTATTAAGGAAATCACGAGAAAGAGTAAATATATTTACTATTCATTAGTTGAAACTGAAGCATCATAAAGGTCTTCATCCTTATTGTCTTCACATTGAGTAGGCTGATGAGGAGGAAGAAGAAGAGCTGGTCTTGCTGACTAAGGTGTGACAGAGGTAGGAGAGGTGGAGGAGGTGAAGGAAGAGGCAGAAAAGGTGGGCACACTCAGAGTAACTTTCATTGAAACATAATTGTATATAAGTGAACCTACACAGTTCATATCCATATTGTTTGAGGGTCAGCTGTACTTTTAAAATAAAAGGAGAGGAGAAAAAGTAAGAGTAAACAAAATGTCAAGTTGGGGGTGGGTGGGTAGAGACGGGGAGGCCCTGGGAAGAGAGAAACTAAATGTAAGGTTAGAAGCAGTGGCCTCAGTGGGGAGAGGAGACGTGTGCAGAAACCAGTGGAGAGAGCTGTTTCACAGATTAAATGCAGGCGCCAAGGATGACAGTGATTCTAGCAACTTCCATGGTAACATTCCAAACTTCTCCCTGAATATCTGTGCTTTTCCCTACTCCTACCTTCATTTACTGGCTTTCAGGCCTTTTTTTCTATGCAACAGAATGTGGGTTCATAATAGTGAAGGGATGAGAAAGGATTAACATAGACCAAATATTGACAAATTAAACAGCAAAATAATTAACCTTGAAAATCTAAGTAGGGTGAAGGTGAGGTTTGGGAGGGCAGCCTGGGATTCCCAGTAGGGCTCTTGAAGCCTGTGAGCATTATTGTTTTATAAAAGAGATTCAAGCATGAGTGGGAAGATTAGACTCCCAACTCTACAGTTCTATGAAGAGTTTGATAAGCACGTTTTTAAGTGAATTTCCAGCTTTCTCAGACTAATTTCTTAAAACTAATTACCTCATTCTTAATTTAAATATGCAAATTCATTTTCTGTAAATCTTAAAATGTACATGTGTATAAAAATGTCTTTTCATCCCCAGATATAGCTATGGGAAACAAGTTGCTGAATTTTTTATATAATCCTGATCATATTTTAGAAGCTGAAAGTTGTATTAAATAATGATGTTTCTATTACTTTACACATTATCAGCATGACATTTCATGTTTCTAGTCTCGTTTTCCCAGCCCACTATAACAAACAAGACTTTTTAAAAAAAATAAACAGTGGTATCTTCCTTTATCAACTTATAAAAAAAATACTCTTTACTCAATTCAAATAGGGAAACAAGCTTCTAATGGCATCCATTTGCACTATTGCTAATGACAACTACCAAACTTTTAAGGACATATAGGATTACTGTATATTTAAACAAACTTAATATGCTCCAGAGAATTTCTAAAGTATTTCTGTGTTTGGCGATCTCTGCTACTTCCACACCATATATTTATATTCTCTTTTTATTTTTTATTTATTTTTTCTTTCTCAAGTTGTTTTCCCCTAGCACTTTTATATTAGGACGTCTCTGTTAGCTATAAACTTTTAGAAGTTTATTTTTAACCCTTGCATTTGTACTCTATTGCATTTATAGAACAGAAATCTGTCCCATATAACAAACCCCTTCTTTTAATTTCCAAGCTGGCATTTCAGACTGTGACCAGTTGGACAGAAACTTCATTCAGTCATTGACAGTTCATTCTGGCCAGATGAGTGCAGCTGGGGGATTAGAATTTTTCAGCCATTGAGTATTTTTTATTGGAGAAAGATTTGTGGTGCTCAAAAACAGTCTAATTTATTCCATATATTCTTACAAGGTCATAAACAATCTTAAAATTACCTAATCAGTATATTGTTCTTACTACATAGGAAAAAAATTCATAGGAAGAAACAAAGAATTTTTTTTAACTTGGGAAATAATATTCACAGTGATTTATGTATGCTGTATTTTTTGGAGACACACAACTTTTACTCTGAGATAACTGTTTTATGACAAGTCCAATATGCTTTATCTAGCTAGAATTCACATAACTTCAATAATTATTTATACTGAAACTAATCAATGAAAACACACAGTATATGCAGTAGAAAGTAATAATGTTTCCACTCTCAATATCCTTGTGAGAAATAATTAGATAGTCACTGATAATCCAGTAATTCTGATTGCAGCTTCCCCTGAGTGCTACGAAATCTTAGAAAATAATCCAACTTGGGATATGTGGAGTGGGAGGGCAGGGGACCATCTCCTGAAGTATCTTTTGAACTGAGCACTAAAGAGGGAATAGGCTTTATTAAGGTGAAGAAAATGAGGAAAGAATATTCCAGAAAGAAAGAATAGCTGGAACAAAACACAGAGTTTGGAAACAGCATAATGTTTACAGGGAACAATCAGTTAGTCAGAATTTCTGGAATTTAGAGTTGTGAGTAGAAATTCCAGGCAGGCAATGGAATGAAGGCATGAGCAATGGTCTAGTAGCAAAGGGCCAAGAATGTCATGCTAAGGAATTGAAATCTTACTCTGTAGCTTAAGGGAAATCATAGTACATACAGACATGCATTTTGAATAGATTATACCAATGAGAAAGGCAAATCTTAATGAAGTAAAATTGATGCCAAAGATACTGGTGTGTAGGATATTGTAAAGAGCAGGTGTAAGATGACGGAGATCTAAGTAAGGTAGGGGTAGTGAGCATGAACACAAGAGGAGAGCCAAGTGAAGGGACCCTTTCTTCTGCCCTCTGAAGTTTCGATGATTGAGTCTGCTGAAATAAATTCACAATAGACAGATTAACGGGAGAAAAGGCATAAAAACTTAGTGTCTGCACGGGGACATCACTGTAAGTACCCAATAACCCAATGAGATTCAAAAGCTAATAGAGCCTTCTTCCCAGGGGAGAGGGAAGTGGAGGGCTGCAGGCACTTTTAGAAGAAGAGCAAATGATTTTTAGGGGAGATGAATGGGCAGGAGTAACAGACGATGGCCTCAGAAAAAGATCCTCTGGGCTCTTTTGATGGTGTCAACTCTAGTCTTCTTTCTTAGAATTAATCTTCCTTATTTGATGAGATTATGGGAGGCGGAGGGAGCTTAAGATAACTGCATTCCTTCTGGAGAAATTTCCCTTAGTCAGATGAGGGAACGTTAGAGAAAGCCTCTCCCTGTGCTTTGGGAAAGACAGAGAATGAGAGATAGGAGGATGGGAGAAGGTCAGAGACACCTTGGCACTAAGGCTACTTCTTTAGTTCAAAGTGCTCAGCATGTCAAGGCACCACACTTTGCAGTATCGTTTTTTTCTGAGCCCCAACAAGAACATAGTTAATACATATTTAGAAGACCAAAATAGATAAATAAATTAAAAGTCCACATAATTGTATAGACTGATTTTATAGCAAAGCAGAGAGGTTTGGGGTTTTTATATTCTCCTTAGTTGATAACACTGCCATTGCTATCAACTAAGAAAAATATGATGAAGAAGAAGGAAAAGGAGAGGAAGAAGAGGAAGAGGAAGAAGAAGGAGGGGGAGGGGAGGGGGAGGAGGAGGAGGAGAAGGAGAGGAAGAGTAAGAGAAAGAAGAAAAGAAGAAGGAGGAGGAGGAGAAGAGGAAGTTGTTGAAGAAGTTTCCCTTTGAAACTCCCACTTTAAGGAGAGAGTGGGCAAATTGTTACTGGAGCAGCTACCTCCTGTAAAGTAAGATCTGGAACATTTTCCTTTGCAATTTAGTGATTTGGAGGTCACTGGGTATCTTTGCGGTTGGGTTTGAGGCACTTTCATTGTAGTACAATGGATAAATAGAAGTAGAGAAAAACAAACAATAGAAACTCATTTTTAAAATACATATAATATATAAAATACATATTCTCTAGCCAGAGAATATATAATCAGAGAATTCTACTCCCATCCTATCCTTTCCTTGAAGGGACACACTTTTTTTTTTTTTTTTTTTTTGAATGGGAGGAATGGGGAAAGTTCACAGGATCAGGGGAAAGAGTCTGTAGAGGAAAACACTGATGAGAGAGAGAAACCAGGGAATATTTAAGAACCAATGGGAAGAAAGGCAATCAATTCAAGAGCTAATGTCGAGGAATTTGCCTTCCACAGGAGAAAACTGCAGGAAAGGAAGGACTGATGTGTGGCTGCATTTATTGGAATAACCTATTTGAATTTAGTTTGCAACTGTTGCTGTGCAAATTCAGATGAATCACAGCCACAAATCTTTATTTTACTGTTTCCCTGCTCTCAAGTGCTTAAGCATAGACAGGTGAAACAGCAAGGTAAAACTGTGCTAACAGGGTAGCATTGCACAAGTAAGGTAAAATTACTAACTTAAATACAGCATTAAGATAAAGCAGTCTTGTAATAAATATTAGGTACCTACTATATTCCAAGCATAGTGATAAGCATTTTACAAGCATTAAGTGACTGTCTTCATTTATTATTCACAATAATCAATTTAATTTAGCCCTATTATTATTTCCATACCACAGATGAGGCAACTGAGTCAGAGAAAATGACTTGCCCAATGTCCCCCAGCCAGCGAAAGCTTTATAACATCTCTATCATACCACCATCTAAGGCTCACCAATCCCTTCACTCTCAACATGCATCCTCTCCTTGTAGATAACAGGTGTGAACTCTTTAAAAAAGTGTTGACTTTCCCTCCTTAGGATGTACCTATATATGCACTTACCATCGTCTCCTTTGATCCAAAGTTGGCCTCCCATCTACTTACTGACCCAATAACATGAGGAATAATGGAAGCCAACTTGGTCTAGTGGTCATAGCAGCTTCCAATGACTTACGAAGTACTGTTGGGGCTCAGAAACTGATACCTCAAAATATGGCTCTTTGACATGCTGAACTAAGGAAGCAGTCTCATGATTTCCCTGACCCTCCCCGAAACCCTTCTCTCTCTCAGCCCTCCCAAAGCGCAGAATGAGGCCATTCTCTGAAGTTCCCTTACCTACCTAGAAATCAGAACCCCAGAGAAGAACACAAGTGTCTTCCTCCCTTTCCTGAAATTTCATTAACCAGAGAAGATTAAAACTTTATATCACAGAAGAAGAAACAAAAAATAAAACAAACAAACAAACAACAACAAAGAACACCTAGAACCCAGGAGAAATTTGTCCCAAACTATTGTCGGTCCTCAGTTCCCATTGAATTCCCAAAGAGAATCATTTACAAACCACTGTCTGCTCTTTGGGCCCATTCATTTACAGACCCTCCACTTCCGTTTTCCCAATGAAAAAGATATTAACTGTCAAACATGTCTTTTTTTTTTTTAGCCTTTATATTTTATATGACTTCCATTTGCATGTGTGCACATAAGTTTGTTATGCTTTTCTCTTTTGAACCTTTTTGTTATAGGGGTGTCAGCCATGACTCTTTATGATTGGGAGGAATGGGAGCACCCTCTTTCCACTCCTACAGTTTTCACAATGAAAAAAGACTCAGATATGATTGAAAAGAACAAAGAGCTGTGAAGCCTATACCATGTAAAATATGAGGAGCTCAGATAAAAGGAGAAAAATATATGTTGACACATTATCTAAACATTATCTAAACGTTAGGAAACAGGAACTAATGTCTTTAGTGCATCTTGGGTAGCCACGTCTAGAGAGGAAAAATCAGTTTAGTGACTAGAATCAAACTTTACTTTTACACTCTTTCACTGAGGTGAAAAATAGTGAACTAAATAATTTTGTTTTGAAATCCACATATTCTGTTGCCAGTTAATGAAATATTATTTGATGAGAGGACTTTTCCTATAAAATAGTAAGAAAATTTATGGCTTTAATTTCACAAACAGAGCAGATCATTTCATTGATTTTTAAAATCTCTGACAGTATTTTTTTCTCTACTTTTACTGTTTTTTTCTCTTTGAATTGCTGATGGGTTGATCTAATTACAAAGAGGTCAATTTCAGCATTTGGCCATATATGTACATATATATAATCATACAACAAAGTTTCTTCAGCTATAAAAAGTAAGATAATAATATATAGGTTCACACCATGAAAAATGTATAGAATTAGAACTCTGAATATTAGCTGGGGATAATGATAAAGAGGAATACTATATTTAAAATGAGTCATTCAAGTAATGCTATACAGGATGAGCTTCACAGAGACGTTACTTAACAGAGAAAGAAGAGAAATGGACCCAGGCATAGGAAACACTGTTCTGTTTCAGAACCTCTGAACATGTATTTTAAAAGAAAAATCTTCACCAGTAGTATATTTCTGTATTTGTATTCACCATTATTGTTGGAACATTCTTTTTTTCTTCATTTAGCTGGTTAACCTGACCCTGATGAATTTCTAGTGAGTCTATTTTAAGAGGCCTCTGTCAAAACCTCTCTCCTCCCATATCCACAGTAAGTAAAAGACAATTTTATATCAACAATACAGGGTGTTAAATGTTTCATTTGGTTCTGAAGGACTCCATAACATCTCCTTCTCAGCCTTAATTTGAAAGGGTAGATTATTTTCCTGCTTTAACTTGAGCCTTCCCTGTTAAGAAAAAATTAAAAAAAAAAAAAAAAAGGAACTCTCAAGGTCTCTTGATTCATGTAAATGTAAGTATTCACTCAAGTTGAAGAGTCTGTCGTTCCCAGCATCTTGAATAATTTTCCAGGGCACATTGTGCCTCTATCACTATTAGTTGATTAATACAATATGTCTTTACACGTAGCCTTTTTATTCATTCTCTAAATTTAAAAAGGGAAACAACTATGTATTTTCAAGCTGTTGAAGCTTCCTTCCTCTTCCATGTTCACCAATATTTTGAAAGTCACAATTCTATGGAAGCACTTTTAAGAGTAGACTTTAATAATTTATTAGGTAGCTTTTGGAAGTTAAACTTAATTCAAGTGCCCAATCCTTTTGTTTGTCGTTGGGAGAGGGTAGTTCTGACAAACTGAATAATTGTAATCCCTTTTCAGATGAAGTCAACCTAAAACTTTCCCAGTGATGGAATTTTGTAAGTTAAACTATGTCATTCCAATAAAAGTCTTGTCTATCAATTTAATAAAATAGCAACCATTCATTTATTATAATTCACTATATTAACTGTGTACACCTATCTGATACAATCTTATGTACATCTCAGGACAGGATCATACTTATGTATCTGTGGGAAATAATCCTTCTTCGAATTAGATGCTGCATTAGCCTGATATTATCAGATTTTAGACACGATAACACTTAGTTTAGAGTCATGTATATATTTTTGCACTGCATGGATATTACATAATATTGAGATTACATAATAATGAGATTATGTAATAATAATTATTACATAATAATGAGATTATGTAATAATTATTACATAATAATGAGATTATGTAATAATAATTATTACATAATAATGAGAGAAAACTGGTTTCTATTAAATGTATGTGAGGCAATATTGTGGTTTATAAAGGCATTTCTAAGATCGCTTCACATTCAGCTATATTTATTTTCTTGATAATTGTCCTGCATAGATTGATGTTTGCTATATATTCACTTACTTCTTTCCTTTTATGATTTTAATAAAACAGTTTCAAAAAATTTACCTCAATTCTGAAAGACAACACCATTAAAAAAGAAATTATTAAAAGGCAGAAATTATTGATTTAGGATACCAGATTAAAAGAATGAAATTTATACCATCTGACCACATAAAAAGTAAGCTGGTCTCTGCATACAAAGTGAAATAAAGAACTGAGACAAATTTATCTGCACAATAAAAGCTAAAGTATCACTTTTATCTATAATATTTAGATTATTTCTGTATTGTAAGATATTTCTATATTGTACTACATAAATAATTTCTCAAAGTCTGTCATATATAATGAGTTCCTAAATTGTCTTCCAGCTCCATATCTCCATGAGTTTATTTGAAAATGTTGATCCTGTTTTGGAGAAGTGAAACATGATAGGATCTAGTTGTCCATATATATATATAGCATAAAAGTTGGTTTATAAGCTAAGATGCTGAAAAATTAGAATTAAAACTTGTGGCTAATACAAAATTTAGCTTAAATAAATTGCTTCTAAGGAGCTGGTTACAAAAGGAAGATAATCCACCCATGTTTACTATAAATGAAACAGAGACTGCATTGATTGCTAGAAGATGATATACAACCTCTTTGCAGGCTGTGAGGCAAATCCACTTGGGAGTATCTTCTGTTCTGATAAGAGACCTTAAAGGTCCTTTGCCTGGGTCAATATAAATCATGGTTCTCATTCTGCTGGTTCCTTGTCTCTGCACCTAACTCCTCAACTCTTGTTGGTCTTTTGGTTCCAAAATTGTTGCTGCACTTTGGACTATTAAGATTATGCATTTTTTTATGGACAAGAGCTCAGCCTTGAACCTCTTGATCTCCTCCACATTGACCACTTAACTCATATGGGCCTTCATGTATTACTTGTCGACACATCTAATATCTTTGACCAATAGCTCCTAAGGACTACAAACAACACTTTATGTACTGATCATCATCTAGATACCCTATTATTTACAACAGGGCTTGCCAATAAGCACACTGGCATATGTTTTTCCCAGTTGCCAAAGTTTTCAATATTTATACCTAATTACAATGAGCTATCCTTGACAGGTTCTTATTCTGATTGAAAAACATGATGTCCTACACCCAGAATTATTTGTAGATATTTATCAGAATTCATGAACCAGCATTTGCATGACTTTGAAGTGTTAGATGCTGAGGCCAGAGAATGCTTATGTAATGATGCTTAACAACTAAAACTGTAACTAATGGGAGTTTAAATAGGTAGTGTAGTGACTGAACACCTCATTGCACTAGTAATATTTATTGATCTCACTATGTGGAAAACAACTTGGCTTTGAATCCTTGAGCTTCTAGAAAGGTCAGGAGGGACGAGAAAACCACCTAAGATCTGGGTAGTCACTGAGTTGTACTTAAATTTGTAAAATATGAGAAAATAATGATTGTGTCCTCCTCTCATAAAATATGAAAACCAAAACAAAACAGGGGTAGCAAAGTATGCTAAAAGTTTTATTGCTGCTGCTCCAGTCAGTAAGGCCCTGCCATTCCACACATGGAATGACCTGTTGTGATGGCCATTTGCAGACAAGATAGAAAAGCACAGGCAGAGTCATGTGGTGTCCCCTTTCTGCACCCTATGTGTATGTGGTACTCCTTCTCTTGGCACCTACACAAAAATCATTCCTGCGTAGCATAGAATTGGGTTAAGGTGAACTATTCTAAGGACAACATCCTGAAATCAAAGGAACAGATGTAGCAGCATTTCTCAAGTGACAGCATTCCACAATGATCACTTTCTAATCCAACCAGAATCTGTGTAGGCAGTTTCACTTATGTGTTTATACGTTACATGAATGAGTGATCTATTCCAAACTGCTTGTTCTTTTAGTATTTCTCTTTCTCCCTGAAAATAAAGAGTTGCTTAGGCCCAAGAGTTGACCAGATGGACTGCACAAAGGTGTGCTGATACCATTTGTGCAGTGAATGGAAGAGATGATTTCAGAGCTCTCCTATTCTCAAAGGATCTAGGCTTCCATCTGTTGGGAATGGCCAAAGTCAATCTTAATAGTCCAGTTTAGGTGTTGAATTCATTCAGTCACTTAGAGAACTCCCTATCAGGGCCAGTCTCTCATTGTTTTCCAGTTTTATATGACAATTTAGAGCCCCATGTGTGCAAAGCAGTTTGGGTCACAATAGGAAAAGTACACCAAACCTGCCCAAGTAATATCATTTTTGTTTTCTTAGAAAAGGGAAGAAAAAGAGGCATACTGTGGTTAATGTTTTCCTTAGGTGATAAATCAAGGGCAGAGACAGGAAGGGGACACAAGTTTTCTAGTTCTCACCTACAGCAATGCCAAGTAGTCACACAAAAGTTTTATTGCTTATGACAGCAGCCAAGTAAAAGAAGACAAAGCAAGAATCGGCAGCTTATGTTTTTACCATTACCAACACCCTTCCCACAATTGTTTTAAGCAATATGGTTTGATGTTAATCAACTCCTTAAAAGCCACCCATCTTTTTCTATAGCAGTGATTGTCTATTATTTTCTACAAACAAGTCCTTGCACAGTTTGACTAGGCTGGAATTAAGGAGGAATAGTAGATCTCCTCACCAATGTCCTGATTGCGAAAGTCATCATTGAGAACAGCCACAGGGAACTCATGGACCTGCCACCTCATTTGAAAGAGAATCTTTGTGTGAGCTGATGCACTCATGAGGAAATAAGGCTAAGGATAGGGAAAAAAAGACCAGGTGAAATATACATCCATGGAGGTTTGGAACCAAAGTAAAAGAGGTTTGCTCTCTGACAGCTGGGATTTATTCACCTCAATAACTAGGGCAGGGCACTTGGTCTTTTTTCCTCCCTTCTCCAGTTTAAGGAAGAGTGCTGGAAAGATAGAAAATTGGACTTTAATTGGAGTGGTTCTCTGGTTCTCCTAACACAGCCTCTTTTAAAAAATGAAGGCATGTCGAGAATAATTATTCTAGCTGGAGTCAACATCACCATGATTCATTATCTTAATATGAATGAAGCCAGCATAGTCAGGGAGAGGTGAACTCTACAAAACGGAGGGATAGAATGAAGAATACTGCCTCTAAGTCTGCCTGAACTTCGGGGAATTTACTTTTGTGTCCCTCCAGGGGACACCAATAGACTTTCTTCTATTGATAGTTCTATTTGACTACTAACTAGAGCATTTATTGGGATGATTATAGCAACTCATCTGTTGATTAGTGCCTCTTCATCAAATGTAAACATTCTTCTGAAGGTCAGGGTACATTGGACACAGTTCAGAGCACAGATTCTAGAGCCAGGCTGCCTGCATTCAGAGCATTCAGATCCCTGGTTTACCACTGAAACTCCTGGAACCTTGGCAGGCTACTTTGTTCCTTTACATCAACCACTGCATAGGACTCTTCTGAGGCATACATTAGTTCATTTGTGCTAAAAGTGAGCACTGTGACTTTGTGCCTGTCACCACCCTGCCCCTATTATCAGCAGCAAAATGTTCTGTTTAAAAGAGTCCCTCAACCTGTTACTCATACAATTGTATTCACACTTATTGAGAACTTACTGTGTTCTAAACCCTAGAAATTAGGTTAGCAGAATGGCTTTAGAGGTAGACAGCCTGGATTCAAATGTAGCCATTTGCACACCATTTTTCTAAGTTTCATTTCTTTTATGTGTAAAATAGGATGATAGTAATAACACCTAACTCTGTATTTTGAATGTAATATCAGCTAGCACATTTCCTCACTATTCCTCAGGAGCAAAGTAAGATTAGCTCAATAGCCCATTTCACACCCTCAGAATTTAAAAACACAAGGCAATTGTAAAGTAGAAAGAGGAAAGCTTTCCTTCTTGTGGTCTCTTCTACCTCTTGAACAATTGCTTTCAAATATGAGTTCCATACATCACAGTTGCATGAAACAAAATGAGCAAAACTCTGACTGTGCCAAGTATTTGTGTCTTAGAATTTGCCCAAAAAACTGCTGGTTATGGGATAGGAGCTACATGGCATATCCCACAGCAATCAAATTCAAAATCCATATCATATATTCCTGTTCTCCACATCTTTTGTTTGGTTGGTCGGGGTTTATTTGTTTTGACCTTCATGGGTCCCCTCCTGATCCTTTTTCCCCAGTGCAAATTTCAATCACACTCATCATTTTGCAAACAGCAGAGTGATAATTACCCAGACAAGAATCGTATTTGGATTTTACAATTAGTGGACAAAAGTATAAGGAGAAAAAGGATATTCTGTAGTTGATGGCTATCTGCTGCCTCCCAGATTGTCCTCAGAATACTACATTTAGCAGAACAACTTTGATCCCCACACTGTGACTCCCAAACTCACATACCCCAATCCATCAAGTTCTCACCCTACAAATATCCTTCCGTTCCACAATATCCTCAAGCATTATCATTATGAGTATAATTTTCAGATCATTTTTAGTGTGATGTTTGTCTCAAACACTTATTTTATGGTAACTGTCTAAAAAAGATAAGTGTAGATATAGAAAACTAAGTAAATAAAGTCTCCTGCTCACACTGAAGTCTTGTCTAGTAAGTTACAGTATGTTAGTTACATTTTCAAGAGTATATGAAACCATGATTCCATGCAGATAAATGTGCAGCCATGTGTGACAAGTAATCCTCTTCAATTCTACTAATCATATGTGCTTCTACTTTCTTGCAGAGGTCAATGACTTAAAAGAAACAAAATGTTCTAAATTTTTGCAGTGTGCACATCTTTGATTTAGGTGGACTCAGTGTTCTAAAAGTGCAATAAAAAGCACACCGAGGGTTTAACTTGACCTTGCATAGCAGAAGCAATATTGATTGATGCTATTCATTTCTTCAGCAGTTTCATGGCAGGTATGCAGTAGGTTTGCAAACAATCCCCTTAATCAAGTTATTGTTGGTATTAGTGTCCAGAAATTGAATCTAAAATGAAGTTGACAAAAGCTGTTCACAAATACATTTACTCAAAAAATTTAGATGAGAATTGGCTCTCTTTAGTTTAATCCTCCAGCAAACATTTATCCAGATGCACTTACTCCACCCTGTCACAGGAAGGAACTACTGATTGTTTCTGTGTACTGGTATGTTCTTATAATTAAGGCTTTGGGACTATGAGTAAAAAGCTGCCTGGTGCATTTAATTAAAGTTAGTAGGAAGCTTCAAGCCAAGCAAGCATTGTCAGTAGTACTTAGTATTTAATACAAATACACCCAGGTGCTTAGATATTTAGGCCAGAAGAAAGTAGAATGTTGTTATATTCAGAAAGGAACATTATACATTCAGTTATCAAATTCCAGACAAAGAACCATAGAATATGGGATGCTATGTGAATAGAAATTGTGATTTCATAAATTAGTAGACTAATCAACAAGCTAGAATAATTCAAGTACCTACTATGTGTTTAGTCCTGAGATTTTATTCTTAATTCTGAGAGTAAAGAGAAATTGAAGAAATATAAGAAACCATGTCTAGTCTGAGAGGTGTGACTAGAGAATGACAAAATAAGATAAAATTAAAAGTAAACAAAACTAATTGCTGAAAAGTGGCACTAACTATAGAGCACAATGGGAATTCAGAAAGAGATATCAAAATTAGGAGCAGAATCACCAGGGAAAATTTCATCTATCAGCACATGGCAAGACATCAAAAATGAAAACCAACTTGCAGGAACTGGTAATGGGCAATCTGGGACAATTTGAGCAATGTTAACAATTTGGACAATTATTACCAATTAATAACTGTAATAATTATTATTATAATAATAGATTATAACCCATAAAATATGAATCTATGGGTCCATACTAATGTAAATAAATAATTTTTAAAGTACATAAAAAAAGAAAAAACAAACAAAAAATAGCAAGTACGTGGGAGAGAAGAGACAGTTCCTTTAATGAGAGAATTCCAATTGATAAAGGTAGAAAAATGGTGGAAATCACAACTCATCATTTTGCAAATAGCAGAGTGATAATTATGCAGACAAGAATTGTATTTAGATTTTAAAATGGGCAAGAGTATAAGGAGAAAAAGGACATTTGCATAATTTTAGTGTCACTCTCCGCATGGCACTTAGTAATTGGAAAAAGAGAAATATTAACTTTACTGAGTTGGATGGTGTCCTCCCCCAAAAAAATTCATACCATTTCTGGAACCCAGAATGTGATCTTATTTGGAAATAAGGTCTTTGCAGATGTAATTGGTTAAATTAAGATGAGGCTACACTGGAGTTGGGTGGGCCCTTAATTCAATATGACTGGTATCCTTAAAAGAAAAGAGACAAAGAGACAGACACACAGGAAGATGTCATGTGTTCATGGAGACAGAGACTGTAGTTATGCCTCCAAAAGCCCAGAAATCCCTGCAGCTGCCAGAACTTGAAAGAGACAAGGAAAGATCCTCTCCTAGAGGCTTCAGAGGGAGCATGACTCAGATTTCTAGCCTCCAGAACTGTGACAATAACTTTCTGTTGTTTTAAGCCATGCAGCCTGTAGCAATTTGTTATGGGAGCCCTAGAAATCTAATACAGTAACTGTGAAGGAGAAAGACCTGTCAGATATCTCCCTTAAACAAATGATCAAAGTAAACATCATTCATAAAAAGACATGAAAACATCAATTACCTCCTCATATGATGAACCAAGAATGGCACAACTTCACTTTTGCAGTACTCTTGACAAAAATACATGACATCAATCTAGTAAGCAGAAAATACCAGATAATTCAAATTAAGAAACCTTCCACAGAGTGATTGACCAGTACTCTTTAAAAATGTCAAGGTTATAAAAGCCCAAAAAGAAAAAAAAAAAAAAAAACTGAGAAATTGTCCCAAATAGGAGACTACCGAGACATGACAACTAAATAAAATGCAGAATTCTTGAGTGAATTCTGAATCAGAGAGAAAAAAAAAAAGATACTAGTGAAACAACTAGAAAAATTCAAATAATGCCTATAGGTGAATTTAGTTTCTGGTTTAGGTCATCAGACTTTGGTTAGATAACATGTTATCACTGGGGGACCTGAGCAAAGGGCATTGAGGAACTCAGTATACTATTTTTGCAAATTGTCTAAAGTTCTATTAAGAAATTTGTGAATAAGATGCAGAGGGAAAATGGTAGGATCAGGCAAGATGGGTAAGAGAACAGATCCCTTGTTACATAAAAGACAGGCTTGAACAGAGACAAGAAAGGAAGGAGTAGAAGCCAGCTGGCCGGGTCTGTGTTGCCAGCAGTGGAAGGGCATGTCAGCACCTGCACAGAGAGCTTCTGGGCTAGGAAAGTCCCCAGAAGTCAGACGGGAACCTCACAAGGCTGCAGAATGGAAGCTGTGTAGAGTTTTGAGCAAATGAGCTATGTAGAGTTTTGAGCAACAGCTGTTCACAAATACATTTACTCAAACAAATAAGAGTTGGCTTTCTTTGGCTATCCATGAAAACAATGATAAATGACAATTTGTCTGTCAGGAAAATGCAGAATGAATTCTGCTTATATTGACTCTTCCTGTCAACGTAATTTCTTTCTAGGTCAGTGGCTAACTAAGGAGTTTGAAGGGCCAATGTTTCTGTCTGTGTTCAAGGGTGCTTTTCTTTCTGGTTTTCTCATTCCATTTTCCTTAGAGGGAGAATTGAGATTTGGGATAAGGACTGATATTAGAAAAATCACTAAATATCCCTTGTCAGAATAACGAGATTATGTCCTTTGCAGGGACATGGATGGGGCTGGAGGCCATTATCTGTAGCAAACTACTGCAGGAACAGAAAACCAAATACCCCTAGAA
Source organism: Homo sapiens (assembly GCF_000001405.40). Classification (NCBI taxonomy): domain Eukaryota; kingdom Metazoa; phylum Chordata; class Mammalia; order Primates; family Hominidae; genus Homo; species Homo sapiens. Next base: position 117,130,712 of record NC_000005.10, on the reverse strand, counting down.
AACTATTATGGTAATTTTGTAGGAGAAAGATCTGTCAGATATCCCCCTTAACCAAGTGATCAAAGTTAACAGCATTTGTTAAAAGACATGACAACATCAAGTACCTCCTCATATGATGAACCAACAACAGCACAACTTCACTTTTGGAGAACTCTTGACAAAAAATGCATGACATCAATCTAGTAAGGAAAAAATACCAGATAATTCAATTTAAGGAACATTGCACAGAGTGATGGGACAGTATGTTCTCACTTATAAATGGTAGCTAAATGATTAGAACATGTGGACACATAGAGGGGAACAACACACACTGGGGCCTCTTGGCAGGTGGAAGGTGGGAGGAGGAAGAGGATCAGGAAAAATAACTAATGGGTACTAGGCTTAATACCTGGGTGAGGAAATAATCTGTACAACAAACCCCCATGACAGAAGTTTACTTATGTAACAAACCTGCACATGCACCCCGAACTTAAAATGAAAGTTAAACAACAACAACAAATGAAATCAGAATAGCACTAATAGGAAAATATAAATAACTAGTATTCAGGAAATAATAATGAATAATCCAAATACAAAAATAATAGAAATTGTATGAGTTAAACCAAAGGAGGAACTCAAGGCCACAGCAGTCACACTATAGGTAGAATAATGATCCAAATTCTTAGAAAGTTAGTAGAATAATAATAAGAAACTATAGGACTATTCTCTCTCTGCTCAAGGTTGTTCTGATTCCTTCTAGATCATATTTCAAGGTCTAGGCAAAAGAGTAAACATAAATAAAAAGAACCAAGTAAATGTCAAAAGAAGCGAGTCACCAAGAATTCAGAGGACTCAAACATGATTGTTAAATAGATCCTAATGTAATACAGTTTGACAAGATTGGAGAAAAAAAAAAAAGATTTAAAATGGACTCTACCATAATAAAAGTTCATTAATTCCAGTTCAACTCAGCGATTTGGCAATCATTTATCATAGATTAGGTTGAAATGTACCTTTATATTATCTCAAAGAAATATTTTGCTAAGCAGATTAATAATGTAAACAAAAGGTACTGTTTTCAAAGCTTTTTGTGGGCCTAGTGTACCGAAAAAGGAAACATAATAGCGTTATAGCAATGATGGCTTAAACTTTGTTGCTGTTATCAAAAGCTAAGCTTTCATTTCTTTTTAAAGGCACTTATGTTAAGGTTTGAATCTCACTGTTTAAAATCTCAACTTTTTATTTTACAGTCCCTATTATCAATCACTGGAGAACTCAATATCATGAAACAATAAAATTTTTGTGAAACAAATAAAAACATTTTGTTCTTGCTCATCTGCCTCTAGGTGTCTACTTGCCACGAGTTAAACACAGTTATCTCAACAAGCAATTGCAAGTAGGGATTTTGCAGGGCCCTTGGGGAACATAGGGGTGTAGAAATTTGCATGAGAAACAGGTGGCCTATTCTTTCTAAATAACCAGAAGAAAATATTTTTCATACACAAGTAATAACTATCAGTGAGGTTTTCCAGAAATTAGAGAGGCAAAGAGCAAAAAAGAAAGGCTAGAACAGTAAAGACAAATGGCCTCTATCCAAGATTCCACACCAAACTAGAAAAGAATTATCTCACTGGGGGGGGGGGGGACAAAAAACAAACAAACAAAAAAACAAGGTACCAAAGTTTGCTTTGTTTTCTTCTCTCTCCTGTTTCCTAATTTAGCAAAATCCTGGTCCACTCACAAAAATGAGCCATTACCCACAACCAGCTCTTTTGGGTACTGAGACTTCCCTGAGCCCTTCCACTTCTTAGGCTTTCTGGGAGAAGACAGTAAGTCATTCCAGCGGGGCCCAGCCTTACTGTACTGTGGCCCAGTTCCCTAGCAGTCCCCTAACAAGGGCATGCACTCCATGAAAATCCAAAAAGTCCACTCTCTGGCCTCATGCTCCCAAAGCTTCAGAAACACAAGGAAGTACAATACACAAAATCAAGATGCCTTAATATAATTCAATTATGGACTCTACACCTGCCGTTTGTGTCATTTTTCCAATGATCCCTATAGGAGTAAACTTTGGAATCTGTTTAAAAATATGCTTGCTGCTCTATGGGAGTTGTGACACTGTCTTTTTCTCTTTGCTTCCTTGGATGTAAGTGTTTAGAGTTCTTGGTGAGAATGAAGGCTCAAGAGAAAGCTTGAGTTATTCTTGATTTTTGCTGTTTAGGGGCAACAGACTTTCTGATAGGGGGGCTTCATAATTGGGTGTTCCTAGGAACTAACTAACTACATAATTTTACAAAATACACGCTTTCCCTGAATGACTATGAATCTGAAGAGGTTCTGCCTGGAAGAAATAGACATTAGTTTAAAAAAAATTGGCCGGGCACGGTGGCTCACGCCTGTAATCCCAGCACTTTGGGAGGCCGAGGCGGGTGGATCATGAGGTCACGAGATCGACACCATCCTGGCTAACAAGGTGAAACCCCGTCTCTACTAAAAAAAATACAAAAAATTAGCCGGGCGCGGTGGCGGGCGCCTGTAGTCCCAGCTACTAGGGAGGCTGAGGCAGGAGAATGGTGTGAACCCAGGAAGCGGAGCTTGCAGTGAGCCGAGATTGCGCCACTGCAGTCCGCAGTCCAGCCTGGGCGACAGAGCGAGACTCCGTCTCAAAAAAAAAAAAAAAAAAAAATTACTAGTCTCTAAATTCTTATGAAACTAGCATTAGACCATACCCTTCTCAAACTCCTAACCTAACAACCTCCAAAGCTGTCAGGAAAACTAGTAACTTGTGTATATTAGAAGTCAAAGTAAGTTGGATATATTTGTAACCAATGAGTAATTTTATTGTCTAATGCCAAAGTAGAATGTGACATATGATTTATATGTTTTTGGAAAATTAATATTAATGCACATATTGTCTAGGAACTGGGCAAATGACGAAAGTCGATTCATGCTGGTCCAGTTGCAAGCAATGAAAGGATGTATGGAGAAATGTATGGAGAAGAACTGGTTTAGAAATAGGGAGAAATGTATGTTCAGGTAGATGATAAATCCGTACTTTCGCTGCAATTAGACATTGTCATATCATATTAAATGTTGTTGGCTAGAATTTTCTCTATTCCTCAGGTCCACCTTCTTTGTTGATGACTTTATTCTCATACAGATTTCCCCAAATGGTAATAAAAATAGCCACTGGAATTTCTAGATTGACATCCTTTTATCTCAGCAATCATGGAAAAAAAAAAAAGAGAGAGCATCATTTTTCATATGCTTCCAGAAAAAAATTCTAAGTTTAAATCTCAATGGAAAATATGTGTGCACATACACGAACTTAATCACATGCAACACACACACACACAGAAGCAAATGACACCACTACCACCGTCAACAACAACAATCATTGTCCACATTTAAGTCAGATGTTAATCGCTATAGCCAATGATGGAATGCTCTAATTGGCATATATGGCTCACGTGCCAAACTCTAAAATTTGGGATGTAGTGTGGAAGTTCTACAGCCAGAGAAGAAAGTTCAAAAGAGGCTACTTTCTGCATCTTACACCCAGAGCAGTGGCTCAAAGATGTTGCACAGGGTGAGAGGCAGTCCACAAAAACGAAGACTTCTAAAGCCATCCCCAAAGAAAATGATTCATTTGAAACAGTGTGGAGAATTTCAAACCTAAGGGATCGTTCAAAAACAATGGAGATTTTGTTGGTAACAATTAAGAAGAGGCTGATAGTTCCTTGAGAGAAACAAACTAAATCACAGATTTATGGCCGAGATCACACCACTGTACTGCAGCATGGGTGACAGAAAAAGACTCTGTCTCAAAAAAAAATTCTATATAAAATGAAATTCTATATAAAATAAAAAACTATATAAAATAATATGAAAAAGTGAATTTAAAAAAAAATATACTGAAAAAAACATAAAAGCAATATTGAAAGAAATTAAAGATCTAAATAACTACAAAGATATTCCATGTTCAAGGACTAAAAGACAATGTTGTTAAGAGGCAATATTTATCAAATTGATCTACAAATTCAATGCAATCTCTATCAAAATCTCACCTGCCTTTATTTTGTAAATATTGGCAAGCTGATCTTAAAATTCATTTGGAAATATGGGACCCAGAATAACCAAAACAGCCTTAGAAAGGAAGAAGGTTGAAAGACTCACATTTCTCCACTTCAAAACTTACTACAAAAAGTACAGTAAGTACACACCAAGAAAATGTGGTACTGCCATAAACGTGGATATGTAGATCAACGGAATAGAACTGAGAAGTCCAAAAGTACATCTTCACATTTACAGTCAACTGATTATTGACAAAGGTGTCAAGATCATTCCATGGGGAAAGAGCAATCTTTCTGATAAATGGTGCTTGGAAGACTAGACATTCAAATACAAAATAATGAATTTAGACACTCTACCTCACACCATATACAAACTTTTAACTCAAACTCAAAAGTTAACATTGAAGACTTAAATGTAAAAGCTAAACTTATAAAACCCTTAGGAGAAAACATAGTCATAAATCTTTGTGACTTTGGATTGGGCAATGGTTTCTTAGGTATGTTGCCAACAGCATAAGCAAAAAAGAAAAAAAAACAAAAAAATTGGACACCATCAAAATTTAAAATTATTGTTTTTCAAAAAACAACAAGAAAATGAAGAATCAACCCACAGAATGGGAAAAAAATGAACATATTACATATCTTATAAAGGACCTGTATCTAGAACATGTAATTGACTCAATGTATCTTGAATATGTAATTACTCATTGTAAAAGACAAATGGCCTAATTAAAATATAAGCCAAGGACATGAACTGGCATTATTGCAAAGAAGAGATATAAATGTCCACTAAGCATGTGAAAAGATGCTCAAAATCATAAGCCACCAGGGAAAAGTAAATCAAAACTACAATGAGATACCATTGCAAACCTACTAGGATGGCTATTATCAAAAAGACAAACAATAAGTGTTAGAAAACAGGTAAAGAAATTGAAACCCTTATCCACTGCTGGTGGGAATATAAAACAGTGCAGTTGCCTTCGAAAATAGCCTGGCATTTTTTTCATGGTTAAACGTAGAATTACCATAGATCCAGTAATTCCATTTCTAAGCATATACCTAAGACAAATGAAAACATATGCCAACACAAAAACTTGTATATGAATGTTTATAGCAGTATTATTCATAATAGCCAAAAAGTGAAACTACCTAAAGATCCCTCATCTAATGAATGAATAAATAATATGTGGTATATCCACTCAACAAAATATTACTCAGCAATGAAATTAAATTAACAGATTTCTGATCTGGCATGTAAGAGTCACCCTCACAACAACAAGTAAAAAGCTGAACCAACTAAAAAATGAGCAATTCTTCTTCAATCCATCAGAGAAATAAAATCACAGGGCAAATGACTACACAGAAATTGGAGAAATGGACAAAGGGGTACCAAAAAATCACAGTTTACCAAAGTAGAAACTCATGAGCTCCAACCTCTGCACAAACCAGGGCTGGGGTAAAGAAATCTGAAGGAACTGTAAATGACAAATTGCTAGAAGCTCAGTGTAGACAACACTCAGAGTTTAAAACCGTAGGGGGACCCAGTCATAGAAGACACCTTACACGTTTGCAAGTTTTACCTCCAGGAGCTCTACCAGGCCCTCACAATGAATATTGAAGAAAAGTCCTCCCATGTTTCCATCAGGAGGAAGGGAAATTAAATGATTATAAATATGCCAGAGAATTTTGTTTTTCATAATATGACCTGGGTTTACCAGATTCTAACCTGCTGGGGTTTTAAGAGTGTCTAACCGACCTGGGCGAAGAGGGATACTCAACTCTAGCCTTCCACCTTGGTAAGGGAAATACCTAACTTTAGCCCAACCTAGAATTCTGTACCTTGCAAAACAATTTTTCATGAATAATAGAGAAATAATGACTTTTATAGACAAATGAAAATTGAGGAAATTTACTGAGAGTAGACCTGCTTTGCAAGAAATGTTGAAAGAAGTTCTTTACAGAGAAGGGAAATTATATAGCTCAGAAAAACATGTATATGAACAGAAAGAAAATGCGTTGAATAAGGAATAAGTAAAGGTAGAATAAACACTTCTACCTTTCTAATTCTTCATTAATCTAACATAACTGTATGCTCAAAATAATCTATTTGATTGTGTTTGCTTATGTATGTGTATGTGTGTGTGCACATGGATATATATTTAAATACTTATGTATGAGTGAAATGTATGAAAGAAATGATATAATGAACAGGAAAGAAGAATTAGGATCATTCTTGTTATTATCATAAGGAACTCATGCTACCTGTGAAGCTGTATCGTGTTATTTGAAAGTGAATGTGAATTACTTGTAAATGTATGTTGCAAACTCTAAAGCAACCACTTTAAAAAGCAAAACAAGAAAAGAAAAATGGGAGAAAATTGAATCAATTAAAATTGCAAAAGGCAGAAATAGTGTGACACACATAAATAGAAACAAAGAACAAGGACAAAAAATAGAAAACAGTAAAAAATATGGTAGATATCAATCCAACTGTATCAATAATAACTTTAAACATCAATGGTCTAAATATCCCAATTAAAAAGCAGAGGTTGTCGGACTGGATCAACAAATAGACTCAATTATATGTTGCCTACAAGAAACCCACTTTAAATATATAGACACAAAATCAGTGTAAAGGTATGAAGACAGATATAATATGCTAACACTAATAAAAAGAAAGTAGGAGTAGCTATATTAGTTTCAGACATAGCAGGCTGAATTTTTAGAAAATGAAAATTTTTTGTATAATACTATAAAAATGCACACTTGTTATTATGCATTTGTCAGAACTCATAGAATGTACAACACCAAGAGTGAATTTCAAGGTAAATTATATCAAAGTTACCACCATAGTGGAGGATATCAATAGTGAGAAGGCTGTACCTGTGTAGGAACTGGAGTATATGGGAACTCTCTATACCTTCTGCTCAATTTTGCTGTTAATCTAAAGCTACTCTAAAATAGTTTATTAATTAGGAAAAAGGAAAGACATTACTGATTCATACTACAAAATGGATGAACCCTGAAAACACTGTGCTATGTGACAAGCCAGGCACAAAAGATTACTTTTGTATGATTCTATTTATATGAAATGTTCAGAACAGGCAAGTCTATGGAGACAGAACATAAACTAGTGGTCGCCTAGGGCCCGGGAAGTTGGAGAAATGGGGGACTGATTGCTAAATGGTTGCGGTTTCTTCTTAAGGTAATGAAAATGTTCTAAAATTGCTGTGGTTAAGGCTGCACAACTGTGTCAAAATATTAAAGCCCATTAAAATGTTCACTTTAAATGGGTGAGTTTATGGTAGATCAATTATATCTCAGAAAGCTACTTTAAAATATTTTTGAATTCTTAACTGAGCTCCCAGAGAAGGAAAGGAAATTCATTCAGGTCAAAACAAAACAAAAATAGCATAGTAAATGCATAAGGCTGCAGCTTCCCTATGCAGAATTATTGGTATCATCTGAATGCTAGTATTTAAAAACTAAGGAGAAAATACTTGGTACTAGAAAAAGCAAGGATTTGAAATTGAGCCTTCATGTACTAAATTAGACCCCATAGTAAGATTCTGAGTGAAGCTACAGACTAGAACAAATCATTTGCCTGCACAGGGTGCCATCAGCAAATCTTACCTAGAACTGAGGTAAGACTCATAACAATGCCCTATATCTCTTGTCAGTTTGAAATTCCAATTTATGCTATTTATGAGGTTCATAAATCTCCAAACTGAAAATTAAATAAAAATGTATGCCAGGATACTGAGAACCCTGGGGCTTCTGGAAAAATCAAGTGCAAAACCATGCTAGAGGCATCACAGTTTTTCCCATCGCAAAATCACAACTGAGCATAAGATCATATCTGAAAATTTCAAAATACAATCTCCTGAGCAAGAATCAAAAGCTAGAACAAATATTAGCATAAACACCCTCAGAAAGTCAAGTGTGTGACGGAAACTATAAAATGAGTATGTTTAAAATGTTAACATGAGTCAAACAAGAGAGATTTGGAAACAAAGCAAATAGAAATTCTGAAAAGAAAAAACATTCATTGCAATTTAAAATGCAGTGGCTGGAGTAAATAGCAGATTAAGCAAAGTTAAAATAAAGATCAGTGAACTGGAAGGTAGATTTGAGGAAATTATCTAGAATGAAGGACAGAAAAAATACAGAAAATGTGGCTAAAATATAGAAAAGCTGCTATTTGCATGATAGATACCCTAAGACCCTGACTTGACCACTACACAATTTATGCATGTAACAACATTGAATGTGTACCCCATAAATTTATACAAATAAAAAAGTTTGAGTCAAGAAGAATAAATGAGACGCTCCAAACTATTTATAAAAGTATTGCCAAAAGGAGAGAATTAAGAAAAGTAAGGAAATGCAATATTGAAAGAGAAAATACCTGGAATTTTTCTAGATAACAAAAGATTTGAGTACTGAGTTTAGGAAGTAAGATGAATCCTAAACAAGATAACTAAAACGGAAATCTATACCTAGACGTATCAGAGAGAAACCGCAAAACACCAAAGATAAGGAAATATCTTAAAAGAAACCAGAATAAAAGATAGTTTACCTTTAAAGAACAAAGAACTAAATTTATAGACAGCAGAATTCTTACCAGAAACAGTTGAAACCAGAAGACAGTATAAGTATTTTCCAAGTGCTGAGAGAAAATAACTGCCAACCCTCAGCTCTATACTGTATAATTTTAAAATTCAAAATACTTAGAAAAGTAAAATTCCTTTTAGCGATGACATTTGATAAACAAATACGGAATCTCACTCTCCTCCTTCCCTCCAAATGCCTATGGGCACTTCTCATGGGCCAACCCCATCTAGAAACCATTGGACAAAGGAACCCATGGATGCAGTTCATATAGTTTAGGCTCCAGGGATAGTCAGCAAGGTGAACAAGGATGGAAATACATCTAGAGGTGTAAATAAAAGAGACTGAACTACTTCTCCAATTTATGCACCATCTATCTTGTAGTAAAGTATACATTATTGAATTTTGGAGCAATCATAATATTTAAAATATTTTATCAATACTCGGACACTTAAATACCAAAATAAATAATGATAGTAATGAATTATAATCTATAGATAAAATAAGAATCAGTATATACTGATATACATAAATAAGGAAAAATAAAGAAAGCGAGTAGAAGGTTAACTAATAAACATAGCGAAAAATGGTACAGTTAGAAAATCACCATTTTGCAGCCATTACAATTGATTGTAATAATTGATTCAGGCAAGAATCATCAATGGACACTAAGCCTAGTAAGTGAAAGTTTAATTAGAAACAGGATATTTACATACCCAAAAAGTATCTCTTCTTGAACTACTTTTAAGATAAAAAAGGAAAACAGTAATTTTAGAGTGGAGAAATTTGGTGTAAACTAAGTGATCGGGTATTAACCAAGTGATCAAAAGTAAGAGAAAAATGACTTCATGAGCCTTCTAAAATAACACACTGAGAAGGACACATCATTTATGCAGTAAAGACATAATTTGGACATAATTATGAGGAAACTTCAGACAAATCCAAATTGAGGGATAACTTATGAAATGAATGATTGGTATTCTTCAAAAATGTCAATATCATAGAGCAGCAGTTCCCAACCTTTTTGGCACCAGGGACCGGTTTCGTGGAAGACAATTTTTCCACTGCCAGGCTTAGGGGACGGGTTGCTCTTGGGATGAAACTGTTCTACCTCACATCATCAGGCATTAGTTAGATTCTAATAAAAAGCAGAAAACCTAGCTCCCTCACAGGCCCTGTTCACAATAGGGTTTGTGCTCTTATGAGAATCTAATGCTACCGCTTATCTGACTTAAGGCGGAACTCAGGTGGTAACGCTAGCCCACCAGCTGCTCACCTCCTGCTGTGCAGCCTGGTTCCTAACAGGCCACAGACCCACACAGGTTCGTGACCTGGGAGTTGGGGACCCCTGTAAAGAACAACAACAACAAAAAGGCTGGAAAATTCCTCCAGGTTAAAGGAGACTAAAATGACATGACAAAGAAAATGCAATGCATGATCATAAATTAGATTCTGGGATGAAAAAAAAAATGCTCTAAAGGACCTTAACTGTACAATTAGCAAATTTGAACATGTATTATAGATAAGATAAATGTATTTGATTAAATGTTGAATTTTGTTAAGTTTTCTGATTTTGATGATACTGAGTTAATATAAGAGATTGTTCTTATTCTTAGTAAATAAAGACTGAGACTGAAGTGTTTGTTGTTGTTGTTGTTGTTTGCTGTTGTTGTTGTTGTTGTTTGAGATGGAGTCTCGCTCTGCCGCCCAGGCTGGAGTGCAGTAGTGCAATCTCAGCTCACTGCAAGCTCCGTCTCCGGGGTTCATGCCATTCTCCTGCCTCAGCCTCCTGAGTAGCTGGGACCATAGGCGCCCGCCACCACGCCCGGCTAATTTTTTTTTTTTGTATTTTTAGTAGAGACGCGGTTTCACCGTTGTTAGCCATGAGGTCTCGATCTCCTGACCTCATGATCCGCCCACCTTAGTCTCCCAAAGGGCTGGGATTACAGGCGTGAGCCACGGCGCCCAGCCCAAGACTGAGGTATTTAAGGGAAGATGAATGTGATATCTACAACTTACTTTCAAATGAATTAAAAAAGAAATAATATATATTTCTTATATATTATTAGTAATATACATAATAAATGGGGGAGAGAGAAATGTCAAATAGAAAAATGCTGACAATTAATCTGAATAAAAGATATATGGGAATTTTTAGACTATTTTAGACTATTTTAGACAATTTTAGAATATTTTTCCAAATTTGAAATTATTTCAAAATAAAAAGATAAATAAGCAAACCACTCTACAAACCTCACTATGCATATCTTAGAAATTTTTACCATTATTCAAAATAAAGTTATTGACATAGGCACATTTTTCCATTTGTAATACATATGATATATGGAATGAACTGCGAATGATCTAAAAAGCTAGTTGGAAAATCAGATATAAAGTAACCAAGCCAATAGGCAATTTCCTTTTGTGAAATAAACACCTTTATTTCTGAAAATACATAATGAAGCATTGAAATGAATTTTCTTAAGTCTAGTTGCTGTACCAATAGTTTTAATAAACTTGTTCACTTCTTAGAAATTAAACAGAAAAAGAAAATACGTCACTCTTTCAGCTTGTGAATGAAATACCCACCCCTTGTTAGCACAGGAGGCTCCCCAGGACTAATGGCATTCTAGGAGAGGAGGAAACAATAAATCAGGAGAGCCTGTGGCCTAAGAGAGCTCTCTAGACACCTGTCTTCCTGGGCCCTGCTCCTTGGCTGAGGTGTCATGGTGCCCACTGATTTGCACACTATCCAAGGTCAGTCTCCTTCTCCTGGAAACTTCCTCCTATCCCCACTTCCCAGAATTCATAGATTTTATAGGCACAGCCATAAACTAAAAGCTTACAGACAAAATTTTGCCCCATAGACTTAGGCCCCACCTTACTGACGTCAGTGCTTTTATTTTTAATGGGCCAAAATTTAAATCTGGAAATTTTGACATAAAAAATCTAGATTTTTAACTTAAAAGACAATCTAAAGATCTGGCAACCCTGTGCCTGATTCTCAAATGAAACTATTTAGCTGGAGCTGAGCTACAGCAAAACCTTTCAGATTGGGGAACTTGCTGCTTAGCTGCAATGGTCTCTTCCATTCCTTATTATCTTACCCCAGGCTACTTCTTTGCTTATATCACTTACCTGGCCCCAGTCAGCGTTTAAGTTTGGGCCCCAAATCTGGGATAGACAAACAAGTTTCCACATGCACATTATTTGTATCATCCATATTTAACTTTGTATGAACCAGTTCATGTGATAAGTACAACAGATTCTGGTAACTAGTAATTTTAACCCTATCAACATAGTGAAATTCTATGGTAATTGTCACCTAGGGTACAGTTGAGTCATCAGCCATGAAAGGACTGTCACAACTAGAATAATGAGAAATCTTACATCTCTCTGGGTAAAAGGCTATTTTTAGAAGTAAATTTAAGCACAGTCTGCTACAGGTCAGTGGGTCCCAAAAGATCTGGGGATTAGCTGTAGGGAGGCTTTTAAAAATATTACAAATATTACAAATCCTTTGTTTCTGGTTTGCTCCAACAGAGATTCTTCTACAACAGGCCTGCAGCGTCTGTATTTATAGAAGGCTCTAAGATCTCTCCTAGTAATCCTAGGAAGTGAGATGGTGTTAGAAAAAAAAAAAAAAAACTTTCTGCAGTGTTTTAACTCTCTAGCTCAAGGTTAAATGCAATCTTATTGTTTACCCTCAGATATGGAGAAAGAATTATGTTAGAAGAGCTGAGAAGTTTATCTCCTTCACCAACAAGTGGAAGCTAAGAGACAGTGGAAAACTTTCAAAGCCAACTAAGCATTGTGTATGTTGCTAAAAAGTAAGTAGGCAAATAAATAAATTAATTAAACAAAATTTAAAATGGAGCAACTACAATTATATATTCCTTTCCCTCATTCCATATAGTTTATTTAGTCATAGCCATCAACCAATTATGAATAAAAATATTTCTAGGATATAAAGGACATTAACAGGTGCATACTTATTTCTAAAACAATAAAAATGAAAGAAAGAATGAAAAGGAAGGAAAGATAGAAATGATTCTGATAAGAGAACAGACATTGATAAATTTCAAGAATTATAAAGATTCATAGTAATTTGTAAGCTAGGATGTTCCCAAGATGGCTGAATAGGAACAGCTCCAGTCTAGAGCTCCCATCATGAGTGACAGAGAAGATGGGTGATTTCTGCATTTCCAACTGAGGTACTGGGTTCATCTCACTGGGTCTTATCGGACAGTGGGTGCAGGACAGTGGGTGCAGCCCACCAAGCATGAGCCAAAGCAGGACGAGCCATCGCCTCACCCAGGAAGCGCAAACGGTAAGGGAATTCTCTTACCTAGCCGAGGAAAGCTGTGACAGATGGCACCTGGAAAATCAGGTCACTCTCACCCTAATACTGCGCTTTTCCAATGGTCTTAGCAAATGGCACACCAGGAGATTATATCCCGTGCATGGCTCAGAGGGTCCCACACCCATGGAGCCTCGCTCATTGCTAGCACAGCAGTCTAAGATCCAACTGCAAGGTGACAGTGAGGCTGGGGGAGGGGCGCCTGCCATTGCTGAGGCTTGAGTAGGTAAAGTGGCCAGGAAGCTTGAACTGCGTGGAGCCCACCACAGCTCAAGGAGGCCTGCCTGCCTCTGTAGACTCCACCTCTGGGGGCAAGGCATAGCCAAACAAGAGGCAGCAGAAACTTCTGCAGACTTAAATGTCCCTGTCTGACAGCTTTGCAAAGAGTAGTGGTTCTCCCAGCATGCAGCTGGAGATCTGAGAATGGACAGACTGCCTCCTCAACTGGGTCCCTGATCCCCGAGTAGCCTAACTGGGAGGCACCCCCAAGTAGGGGCGGACTGATACCTCACATGGCCGGGTACTCCTCTGAGATGAAACTTCCAGAAGAACAATCAGGCAGCAACATTTGCTGTTCAGCAATATTCACTCTTCTGCAGCCTCCGCTGCTGATACCCAGGCAAACAGGGTCTGGAGTGGACCTCCAGCAAACTCCAACAGACCTGCAAGCTGAGGGTCCTGACTGCTAGAAGGAAAACTAACAAACAGAAAGGACATCCACACCAAAACCCCATCTGTACGTCACCATCATCGAAGACCAAAGGTAGATAAAACCGCAAAGATGGGGAAAAAACAGAGCAGAAAAACTGAAAATTCTGAAAATCAGAGCGCCTCTCCTCCAAAGGAACGAAGCTCCTCACCAGCAAAGGAACAAAGCTGGACGGAGAATGACTTTGATGAGTTGAGAGAAGAAGGCTTCAGATGATCAAATTTCTCCGAGCTAAAGGAGGAAGTTTGAACCCATCACAAAGAAGTGAAAAACCTTGAAAAAAGATTAGACAAATGGCTAACTAGAATAAACAGTGTAGAGAAGCCCTTAAATGACCCGATGGAGATGAAAACCATGGCACGACAACTATGTGACAAATGCACAAGCTTCAGTAGCTGATTCGAACAGCTGGAAGAAAGAGTATCAGTGATTGAAGATCAAATGAATGAAATCAAGAGAGAAGAGAAGTTTAGAGAAAACAGAGTAAAAAGAAATGAACAAAGCCTCCAAGAAATATGGGACTATGTGAAAAGACCAAATCTACGTCTGATTGGTGTATCTGAAAGTGACGGGGAGAATGGAACCAAGTTGGAAAACACTCTGCAGGTTATTACCCAGGAGAATTTCCCCAACCCAGCAAGGCAGGCCAACATTCAAATTCAGGAAATACAAAGAACACCACAAAGATACTCCTCGAGAAGAGCAACTTCAAGACACATAATTGTCAGATTCACCAAGTTGAAATGAAGGAAAAAATGTTAAGGGCAGCCAGAGAGAAACATCGCATTACCCACAAAGGGAAGCCCAACAGACTAACAGCGGATCTCTCGGCAGAAACACTACAAGCCAGAAGAGAGTGGGGGACAATATTCAACATTCTTAAAGAAAAGAATTTTCAACCGAGAATTTCATGTCCAGCCAAACTAAGCTTCATAAGCGAAGGAGAAATAAAATCCTTTACAATCAAATGCTGAGAGATTTTGTCACCACCAGGCCTGCCCTAAAAGAGCTCCTGAAGGAAGCATTAAACATGGAAAGGAACAACTGGTACCAGCCACTGTAAAAATATGCCAAATTGTAAAGACCATCGATGCTAGGAAGAAACTGCATCAACTAACGAGCAAAATAACCAACTAACATCATAATGACAGGATCAGATTCACACATAACAATATTAAACTTAAATGTAAATGGGCTAAATGCTCCAACTAAAAGACACAGACTGGCAAATTGGATAAAGACTCAAGACCCATCAGTGTGCTGTATTCAGGAGACCCATCTCACGTGCAGAGACACACATAGGCCCAAAATAAAGGGATGGAGGAAGATCTACCAAGCAAATGGAAAACAAAAAAAGGCAGGGGTTGCAATCCTAGTCTCTGATAAAACAGACTTTAAACCAACAAAGATCAAAAGAGACAAAGAAGGCCATTACATAATGGTAAAGGGATCAACTCAAGAAGAAAAGCTAACTATCCTAAATATATATGCACCCAATACAGGAGCACCCAGATTCATAAAGCAAGTCCTTAGAGACCTACAAAGAGACTTAGACTCCCACACAATAGTAATGGGAGACTTTAACAACCCACTGTCAACATTAGGCAGATCAATGAGACAGAAAGTTAAAAAGGATATCCAGGAATTAAACTCAGCTCTGCACCAAGTGGACCTAATAGACATCTACAGAACTCTCCACCCAAACCAACAGAATATGCATTCTTCTCAGCACCACATCACACTTATTCCAAAATGGACCACATAGTTGGAAGTAAAGCACTCCTCAGCAAATGTAAAAGAACAGAAATTATACCAAACTGTCTCTCAGACCACAGGGCAATCAAACTAGAACTCAGGATTAAGAAACTCACTCAAAATCACTCAACTATATGGAAACTGAACAACCTGCTCCTGAATGACTACTAGGTACATAATGAAATGAAGGCAAAAATAAAGATATTCTTTGAAACCAATGAGAACAAAGATACAACATACCAGGATCTCTGAGGCACATTTAAAGCAGTGTGTCGAGGGAAATTTACAGCACTAAATGCCCACAAGAAAAAGCAGGAAAGATCTAAAATTGACACCCTAACATCACAATTAAAAGAACTAGAGAAGCAAGAGCAAACACATTCAAAAGCTAACAGAAGGCAAGAAATAACTAAGATCAGAGCAGAACTGAAGGAGATAGAGACACAAAAAACCCTTCAAAAAATTAATGAATCCAGGAGCTGGTTTTTTGAAAAGATCAACAAAATTGATAGACCGCTAGCAAGACTAATAAAGAAGAAAAAAGAGAAGAATCAAATAGATGCAATAAAAAAAGATAAAGGGGATATCACCACTGATCCCACAGAAACACAAACTACCATCAGAGAATACTACAAACACCTCTACTCAAATAAACTAGAAAATCTAGAAGAAATGGATAAATTCCTCGACACATACACCCTCCCAAGACTAAACCAGGAAGAAGTTGAACCCCTGAATAGACCAATAACAGGCTCTGAAATTGAGGCAATAATTAATAGCCTACCAACCAAAAAAAGTCCAGGACCAGACAGATTCACAGCTGAATTCTACCAGAGGTACAAGGAGGAACTGGTACCATTGCTTCTGAAACTATTCCAATCAATAGAAAAAGAGGGAATCCTCCCTAACTCATTTTATGAGGCCAGCATCATTCTGATACCAAAGCCTGGCAGAGACACAACAAAAAAAGAGAATTTTAGACCAATATCCCTGATGAACATTGATGCAAAAATCCTCAATAAAATACTGGCAAACTGAATCCAGCAGCCCCTCAAAACGCTTATCCACCCTGATCAACTGGGTTTCATCCCTGGGATGCAAGGCTGGTTCAATATATGCAAATCAATAAACGTAATGCAGCATATAAACAGAACCAAAGACAAAAACCACATGATTATCTCAATAGATGCAGAAAACACCATTGACAAAATTCAACAATCCTTTATGCTAAAAACTCTCAATAAATTAGGTATTGATGGGATGTATCTAAAAATAGTAAGAGCCATTTATGACAAATCCATAGCCAGTATCATACTGAATGGGCAAAAACTGGAAGCATTCCCTTTGAAAACTGGCACAAGACAGGGAAGCCCTCTCTCACCACTCCTATTCAACATAGTGTTGGAAGTTCTGGCCAGGGCAATCATGCAGGAGAAGGAAATAAAGGCTATTCAGTTAGGAAAAGAGGAAGTCAAATTGTCCCTGTTTGCAGATGACATGATTGTATATTTAGAATACCCCATTGTCTCAGCCCAAAATCTCCTTAAGCTGATAAGCAACTTCAGCAAAGTCTCAGGATACAAAATCGATGTGCAAAAATCACAAGCATTCTTATACACCAATAAAAGACAAACAGAGAGCCAAATCATGAGTGAACTCCCATTCACAATTGCTTCAAAGAGAATAAAATACCTAGGAATCTAACTTACAAGGGACGTGAAGGACCTCTTCAAGGAGAACTACAAACTGCTGCTCAACGAAATAAAAGAGGACACAAACAAATGGAAGAAGATTCCATGCTCATGGATAGGAAGAATCAATATTGTGAAATTGGCTATACTGCCCAAGGTAATTTACAGATTCAATGCTATATCCATCAAGCTACCAATGACTTTCTTCACAGAATTGGAAAAAACTACTTTAAAGTTCATATGGAACCAAAAAAGAGCCCGCATTGCCAAGTCAATCCTAAGCCAAAAGAACAAAGCTGGAGGCATCACGCTACCTGACTTCAAACTATACTACAAGGCTACAGTAACCAAAACAGCATGGTACTGGTACCAAAACAGAGATATAGAACAATGGAACAGAACAGAGCCCTCAGAAATAATACCACACATCTACAACCATCTGATCTTTGACAAACCTGACAAAAATAAGCAATGGGGAAAGGATTCCCTATCTAATAAATGCTGCTGGAAAAACTGGCTAGCCATATGTAGAAAGCTGAAACTGGATCTCTTCCTTATACTTTATACAAAAATTAATTCAAGATGGATTAAAGACTTAAATATTAGACCTAAAACCATAAAAACCCTAGAAGAAAACCTAGGCATTACCATTCAGGACATAGGCATGGGCAAGGACTTCATGTCTAAAACACCAAACCCAATGGCAACAAAAGCCAAAATTGACAAATGGGATCTAGTTAAAGTAAAGAGCTTCTGCACAGCAGAAGAAACGGCCATCAGAGTGAACAGGCAACCTACAGAATGGGAGAAAATTTTTGCAATCTACTCATCTGACAAAGGGCTAATATCCAGAATCTACAAAGAACTCAAACAAATTTATAAGAAAAAAACAAAGAACCCCATCAAAAATTGGGCGAAGGATATGAACAGACACTTCTCAAAAGAAGACATTTATGCAGCCAAAAGACACATGAAAAAAGGCTCATCATCACTGGCCATCAGAGAAATGCAAATCAAAACCACAGTGAGATATCATCTCATACCAGTTAGAATGGTGATCATTAAAAAGTCAGGAGAAAGCAGGTGCTGGAGAGGATGTGGAGAAATAGGAACACTTTTACACTGTTGGTGGGACTGTAAACCAGTTCAACCATTGTGGAAGACAGTGTGGTGATTCCTCAGGGATCTAGAACTAGAAATACCATTTGACCCAACGATCCCAATACTGGGTATATACCCAAAGGATTATAAATCATGCTGCTATAAAGACACATGCACACGTATGTTTACTGTGGCACTATTCACAATAGCAAAGACTTGGAACCAACCCAAATGTCCAACAATGATAGACTGGATTAAGAAAAATGTGGCACATATACACCATGGAATACTATGCAGCCATAAAAAAGGATGAGTTCATGTCCTTTGTAGGGACATGGATGAAGCTGGAAACCATCATTCTCAGCAAACTATTGCAAGGACAAAAAAGCAAACACCGCATGTTCTCACTCATAGGTGGGAATGGAAAAATGAGAACACCTGGACACAGGAAGGGGTCATCACACACTGGGGCCTGTTGTGGGGTGGGGGGAAGGGGGAGGGATAGCATTAGGAGATATACCTAATGTAAATGATGAGTTAATGGGTGCAGCACACCAACATGGCACATGTATACATACGTAACAAACCTGCACATTGTGCACATGTACCCTAGAACTTATAGTAAAAAAAAAAAAAAGTCAAAAAAAAATTTGTAAGCTAGCAGAAACTTTAGGAAGCACATAATCTAACTCTTTTGTTTCACAGTTAAAGATACTAAAACAGGGAAATTGACTTATGTCACATAGTGATATGGTTTGGCTGTGTCCCCTCACAAATCTCATCTTGTATTATAGCTCCCATGATCCCCAGGTGTTGTGGGAGGTGATTGAATCATGGGGGCATGGTATTTCCAGTACTGTTCTCATCATATTGAGTGAGTCTCATGAGATCTGATAGTTTTGTAAAGGGGAGTTCCCCTGCACACCTTCTCTTGCCTGCTGTCATGTAAGACATGCCTTTGCTCCTCCTTTGCCTTCCTCCTCCCTAGCCATGCTAAATTGTGAGTCAATTAAACCTCATTCCTTTATAAATTACCCAGTCTTGGGTGTGTCTTTATTAGCAGCATGAGAGCAGACTAATACACACAACTTACTTATGGGTAGAATGGGGACTTGAATCCAGTTCTTTTAACATGATATCTACGGCTCTTTGTTCTAAATTTTTGTGGTTTTAGAAGACTTATGTTTATATTATAAATTGAATTTTCATGAGGCAGGAAATCTTTTCACTCTCCCCTTTTGCATATTCATATTTTCTCCATGTGAAAGAGGTTTTATTCTCAAGGACTAGAAACCAGATGATTTTTTTTTTTTTTGCTAGAATGTAGGATATGAAAAGTGAAAAGACAACCACTCAAAATTTGAGGCCTACATCAGTGATATTTGTGGGTCTCATGAAGTGTACAAGGAGCTGCTTGTGTACAAAAAAGTGAGTCAGCTCCTAAAAGAACAAAAAGTGCAAAGGTAACTATTTTAACTTTGTTTGGGTCTTGAGTAAAAGGAAATCTAGCCCAAAATACATTCAATGCATTTATTGAATCAGACAATAAGAGTATCGAAGAGAAGGGTGAGTTTTAGAGATTAATCTGGGTTCCTGACATCCATACCTTCCTCTGTAAATGTTTCTCTTCATGCTAGCACTCCCTGTGGTCACCAGATGGCCATCAGCAATACCTAAGACAACAGGCCCTACTTCACAGTGGATTGGAGAGACAGTCATTTCCTACGGTTAGCAAATGCATTGTTCTCATTAGACCAACCTTCAACTAGTCACTGAAGCTAAAAGAAATGCCATGCCCTAACTGGTTTAATCCTGGGTCACTTGATTATCACTGAAGCAATCTCAAAGTAAGAAAAGGTTGAATTACTATTACCCTAATTTTTTACTAGTTTTATATGGCATGTAGGTAAATAAAAATTCATTGAGCCATACACCTAATATTTATGCTTTTTATGACACCTATTTGTGCCTAAAATAATTTTTTAAGTGTTTTAAAGATGATCCTGAATGGTTTATAAAACTAATCAGGGAGGACTCCTGGAACTGGGGATGGACTGGGTAAACCTCACACAAATGACATGGTAGCAACATAAAGTAAGAGAAGTGTAATGAATGTTGTGGATGCAATCACAAAGCCGTTTACAGTAACTATTTACAAGGTGGACAGCAATTTGCAACTAAATTTAAATCTCACTGAAGGGCTACATAAGTCCACCACCACCTCCTCTTTACCCAGTGAAGAACAGAGACTAAATGCTATCCTTTGAGTTAACCTTGCAAAGTATCTTGAAGGAGATTTTTTACTTCTTCCTAGTCCAAACACACACAGTAGCCAACTTCGAATAACACAGTTGGCAGAAAAAAATAAACTAAAATTTAGTTTCTCCTATCCTAATGTTAATTATTTCCTCAGACTCTACAACAGCTTGAAACCTTACAGATTACATAGAGTGGTTTTTATTACCTAGAAAAGTGCCTTTCTCAAGGTTGGTACCTAACGTATATTAGGAAGAATTAAATGGCATGGGATGGGGTAGGATGGAATGAAATGGGAAGGGATTAGAAGCAAATGTAACTGAATGAAAATGACTGAAATGGAATGGAATTTATGTCTTGGGGCAGGACAAAAAGGGGCTATACTCAGTCAATTAAGCATGATGGCATGTATGACCTCAACCTCTATAGTATTTCTGTTAAATCATAAACCTTATCATTGTTAAGAAATACCAGTTGCCAGTTTATATCCTATAATCACAACCCAATTTCCCTAAAAGCTTATATTTAGCAAATACAATGGTTTTAGAAAGGTTAATTTTGGGTTTGAGTGGCAGGCAAATTGAAATTTGTGGGAAGATGGGGGTCAGAGAGAGCAGTCATAATCTTTTTTTTTTTTTAAAGGTACTGTACAAAAAAAGTGGATCAAAAAACTATTTTATTCTAGCAGAAAAGAAATGTTCCCTGGAAGAAAAGGGAAGAAAAGAAAGAATCCTGGAATAGGGTGTTTAATTAAAGCAATGCTATGTGCAGTTCACAAAATGACAAACACTGGCTTAGGGTCATCTGTCTGCAAAAGAGTGAAATTTTTACCTGAAATCACACACAACGTTACATCTGGAACACAGAGAGAAAAGGGTAAGATTCTACAGAGCTGGAAGATACTGCGGATAATGAATGGAAGGAACCAGACTAATATACGAGGATTTATGAAACCAGATTCAGTGGAGAACCTCTGAACCTGTCTATTATCTACCTGAACATATTGGAAGATCCAGTTTTCCCAAATTTTAACGTAATACTTCTGCTTTCTAAGTGGCTTATTAGGGGTATAATGTACTTAAGGTCTGTGGCAAAGAAGAGAGATAGTCTTAGGGAAAAAAAAATCGTAATGTCATATCTAAATCTCAATTTGACAAAACGAAAGAAGAGGAAATGGCTGCTATACTACTAGGTTAAGCATAGTATACCAAAAATGCTTATATTCACACATCACCTTATAACACAGAAGTTTCATTAATAGGGTTGAGCCTTACAAAAATCTCTAGGGTAGATAGGGCAAATAACCACAGATTTTGATGCTATTTGTTTGCTTGTTTTTAACAAATGTAGAAAGTACGTGACTTGGGCTATCCAGGACTAGAGAGTAGGTTTTCTGACACCAATCAGGAGGACAAGTCCATAATCACGTGTATCGTGGCTACTAAAAGAAACCAAAACTAAACCCCTGAACCCTGTTTATTGCTATTATTATCTTAATCATTATAATCATTTCTCTATTGAGCACTGATGACCTAAAAGTTATTATGGCAAGACCTTGACATATTCTCACACAATCCAATGAGAAAAACCACTATTACTGTCTTTTATTTATAAGAAAACTCAGAGAATGTCTTGTTCATGTTTCCACAGTTAATAAGCATCAAATCTAAAATTTGAATCCAGGTCAGTTTTGTTTCAAGGTTTCAAAGCCAATATCCTCCTAACTATTATGTTATACTGTGGTTAATCAGTTTATTCCATTTCGCTCTACGTCCAATATGGCTTATGGCCTGTATTGCCATTCATAACAATATAGGTACTTATTGTGCTTTCCATTGAAAACGTTTTACTGTGGTACAATAACTATTAAAATTGTGTTTTTTGACTAACCACTAAGAAGTGACATTTACCAGTAAGACTAAATTAAGACTTAAAAAGAAAAGAAAGTAAAAGAGAGCACAATCACAAAGTTAAGGAATAACAACACAGAATTAATCCTGAAAAAATATTGAGATAATGCCTCACTCATATTACCTCTGTATTCATCACCGTTTCTAGTACAATCATCTGGTGCTCCTTGTGACCACAGACTGTGCAAACTGGCAAAAGTCAAACCAAAAAAACTCCTAGGGGAGTTCATGCCCCTGGGAGGCCCACAACAGATGAGACGGAAGTTTGTGTCTAGATACCTAGCTTCCTGGTCCCTGGTGTGAGATAACTGAGGCATGCTCTGAGCTGTCTCCCTAAAGATCCCCGTGGAAAAAAGCTACAGCTGCAAATAGCAGATCCTCTCATCAACATTTTCTGAATTGGCTTCTTCCTCCTTTTCTCTGTCTCCTTACTGGCACTTCCTGAGATCACCTCCCTCTGAAAAAAGTACTCAGGTTTAGTTGACACACAAAATGAAGTCATTTATTTTGGAATTAGTCATGATTTTACACATAAGAATCAACTGTTTTTTCATATTCCACAAAAATATATTATTTGCTTTCCTTCCTTGTAATAAATATGTCCCAAAAAGATAATAAAGTAAACCAGATCAATGTGACTTATCATTCAAAGTCAGTGCTTTGGGCTGAATTTTGTCCCCTCCAAAATTCATATATTGAAGTCCTAAGTTTGGATGCCTCTGACTATGACCATTTTTGGAGACAGGATGATTAAAGCGGCAGTTAAGCTAAAATGAGGTCATAAGGATGGGTCCTAATCTGACTGGCGTGGTTATAAGAGGAGCAAACCAGGACAAAAAGATATACAGAAGGAAAACCATGCAAAGACACAGGAAGAAGATTGCCATCTACAAGCCAAAGAGAAGGACTAAGGCAAGTAACCAACCCTAGTGACACCTGATCTTGAACTTCTAGCCTCCAAGAAGAAATGTGAGAAAATAAATGTCTAGTTTAAGTCACCCAGTCTGTGGTACTTAGTTATGTCAGCCCTGGCATACTTACATAGTCAGAAACTGATTATCATCAGTATATTGGAAACACTAGCTAAGTGTATGCAATTAAATAATAATAATAAAATAACAATAGACTGGGTGCAGTGGCTCATGCCTGTAATCAAAGCACTTTGGGAGGCCAAGGTGGGTGGATCACCTGAGGTTGGGAGTGCGATACCAGCCTGACCAACATGGAGAAACCCCATCTCTACTAAAAACACAAAATTAGCTGGGCGTGGTGGCGCATGCCTGTAATCCCAGCTACTCGGGAGGCTGAGGCAGGAGAATCACTTGAACCTGGGAGGCAAATGCTGCAGTGAGTGGAGATCGTGCTATTGCACTCCAGCCTGGGCAACAAGAGCAAAACTCCATCTCAAAAAACAAATAAACAAACAAAAACAAACTTTTATATGTAAAATGGTAATTTCTCTGTGATTCAGCTTTTCCACTTGTAAAAATGAAAAATCATACTATGGGGACAGTAATATACCACAGGGATATAAACGAGTAAATTTCAGAACAGATTTAAAAGACACTTTGATACCTCTTTAAAAAAAATTAGACAAACTGAAAGAACTATTTTTATTCAAGGCACTGTGAAAATTACACGCCAATGACAAAGCAGCCTTTACATTTTCAGCTTCGTCAAGGTTCTCGGCATTACATTTTCCTCTTTCACCATGAGCAATAAACCATCCATGCTCAATCTCTCCATGCATAGTCAACCTAATCAGCCATCAACAGGGAGTTCACAAATATACAGGGGCTCGTTATTCATCACTCCTGAGGAGCAGCTACTGCAGCCCTAGTTAGTAATTAAATATTTAGTGTCACTGATACTGGCAACAGAGAAAAGAAAATACTGCACTTCTTAAATTCCCTGGAAAACATATTGAAGGCAGCCAGTCAATCACATGACTGACAGGCTCTGACTCTCTCATTAAAGGTGATAAAATAGAAAATATGCTCCAAATTCAAACCACTTGCATGCTTTCTCTCTCTGTTAGGAAATATTGGGACATTCTTGTTGAATTTTAGAACTAGCTTGAAGCAAAACTCACCACCAAGGACAAAGAAGTAGAGATATTATAAAAATTTGCTTTACCACAAACTCCAGGTGGACTTCATATACTGCCTGAGGCGTTACAATGTTAAGGAAACTGGAAACTGTCCCTCTTTCAGAGCATAGGGCAGCAGACTCTGCATGACAAAATAGTATAACCAGTCTCTACTCCATTCCCCACCCCAAACCCCCCAAAAATGAATATGTGAATGCACTGGCCTCTGAATGTATATAAACTGGACACAGCATAACTGTAACCAAGAAATAATACTTGCATCTTACAATTTTATTTCTTGAAGTAAGTGCCGGCCATTCCAAACTTGGGTATGAAATGGTGGATATCCAAATTAGATCTCTTCAGATTCCAACAAGGGCAGACCTGACCCAGGCACTCAGAAATGACATTAAGATAAATCTTGTAAATTTTAAATCACACGCATACGCTCAAGCTGGCTCACTGGACTTTGGTCAGATCCTCCATACTTGAAGTTTAGACCTCATTAGGTAGACTGGGTCTGTAACTGTGAGGGTACATTGATTGCACCACACGCTAGAACTCTATGTCTGCTCAGCCTGTGCAAGGATTTCAGCTTTACTTTGCATTTATCCTGACACTCTTTCTTAGACCTTTGTCTTTGAACTTGGCAAGGCTTCATCTCTTCACAGGGACATGTTAGTCCAAGAGTTAGTAGCCACTGGAGAACTCCATTCTATGCCTGGGTAGAGCGTACTGCACTCATCGGTTCTGGGTGGTGTCCCTCTGCAGCACTAGGAAAGCAATGGTCTGTGCTCCTCTCTTAGGTATCAAAGTTGTCCTTCATCTTTTACTGATTGTTCCTACAAGTCCCAGGCATTCTGATTCAACAAAAGGACCCGATAGAAGTGCAAGGTCATGAGCATGCGACCTCAGGCCAAAGATCCTCATTCATTGATTCCTGGCATACATCCCCCTTCAGCAGCCACATTGGGTTGATCCCCCTACCAGCACTGTCTTCATCTCAATCGTCCCACTTTCCATACTATTCTGACGGTCAGATTCTAATGATTCCTTCAGATTTCATTTATTAACTAATGTTGATGAAAGGATTACTTCTTTTGTCCTGACTTCAACAACCACCCATTTTTTAGACACAAAAGAACAGCTTCTAGTCGGCTAAAGAAACCATACCCTTAAAATAAATGGATTTCTCTTCTACAACCTTTTCTAAGACTTTGAACCATTGTTCCATCATCTCCCTGAGGGTTCATGAAGGTTACATAGGGTAACAGTCCTGAGTTCACAAACCTGTCATCTGGGCCTAGAAGTCCTTGTCACTGCACAAACAAGCTTCCAGTGGAGGATGCAGTAATTTGAAATGTGCTTCCACTAATAGTGTAGCCATCTTTATTTTAAATTACAGTTTATTCTGAAGTAAAAACTCTAGGCTTGCACACTGGCTGAGATAAATAAGTAATAATCATCAAACAAACAATATTTTCTAATCTACATGTATACAAAAAGGATAGTTGAATGAAATGGTTTGTGGCAGCACCATTAGATATGCTTTTGTTAAATATTGCTTAGAAATTTACCTTTAAAAAACCTCAGGGGAAAAACTTTTTCACTGAAGAATTATTAGTACATTTTCATTATAAAATTACATCCCTAAGGGAGCCTGGGGAAACCAGTTATTTTTTATTTAAGTGTCACTTTTTATTCCCTTTATTGCTGTATCTTTGTAGGTCAGGACACTGTAAAGAACTTGAAATGAAAGGCACCTGATGACAAAGATGAAAGTCAAAAAGTTATAGTAAGTTTACAGATATTTAACATGAATTGGCTTAAAAGGAAAATAGAGTAGCAAATGGTCATTCGCTTTGAGAATTAAACAAATTACCCACAAGCCAGTCTCAGATTTTCTTTTTCCATGCTGTGGAATAAAGGTGTGTAAGCACAAATGACACCCTGCAGTTAAAATCAAAATCCCTCATCCCTTCAAGGAAGGAGTTTCTCTAATGGTTTTTTAAATTGTGCTGAGTTGCTTTTGCAAATGGAGCCTGCATTGTCCCATTGAAACAGAAGCCCTGTTTCAGAAACAGACGGTACAAAAAAAAAAGTATTTAATCTGACCACAGCTTGGGTTGACTTGCTTTAGCCCCAGGGTCCTACTTCGGACTTGAATAGAGTCTGTGTGGCTGCTTTCCATGGTCTGCTGCATCATCATATAGCAAAACTGAATTGTTTTGACGAGAGCTGGTGAATAGGCTATGTTTGGACAGACTGGGTCTGTTTTTAGCCATTAGAAAGGGCTATTAAAACTGCTGAGCTGTCATTAAAGCACATTGTGAGGTGCCCAAGACAAAGCAGCAAGAAGTAAATTGGCTTTCTGCATCCAGAGGCCCTGAGTCTGGGAGGACATTGCCCTGTCAGGCCAACTCCACTTAACAGTGCAGAGCGGGAACCAACACTTATAGCAGGTGTGACTGAAAGGAGCTCAGCTTGAATTAGACTCTGGAAAAGTGCTTTCAGTTAAAAGAAAGAAAGAAAAAGGGAGAAAAAGACAGACAGACAGACAGATAGTTTAAAGTTTCAAGTACTGGTCAGGAAATTGGGCAATGTTCTCTGGATTCATTCTCTGCATTGCAGCAAAACCTCATTAATTTGAAATAATTGGGAAAAGGAAAAGTGTTAGGCTTTTCAAGTTAAAACAAGGAATTATACAATATTTTTGGAATACTGCCATTATATTATGTTATAGCCCCAGGGTAACACTTATTATTAACCAAAGATTCCATTTAATGTCTGTAGTCCAAAAGAATAATTTGTAATTTGCACATTATTGATATGCAAATATAATGCTTGATTTTTTTTAAGATTTTTTCCATGGGATAAACATTCTTCTCAAATTCTCTTTACCTATTAATTTCATTGGTAAAGCCAATTAAAACATAATAAAATGCATATCACAAAGATCAACTGTAGCTCTGCCCCCACTTGAATAATCCCAAATTCTGGAGTAATTTGTTTTATAAATTAGTGAGTGCAAGTAAGCAAAATATTATTGTATACTGAAATAGAAGAGATTTTTATGACTCTTAAAAATAAGAAAAATATGTTTCTCCTCCAGGGCTCCTTTTCCTCCCTCCTTTTCAGTGATTTAAGCATTAAAATTAGACCCTCTGTTCTTTGTCTTTAACTTCCCCTCTTCTACTGGTTTCTTCTTCACATTTGAACATATTTTAGTCTTTCCTAAATTCATGTTAAAATCTCCCTAAACTTCATGTCCATCTCAAGGCATCACCTTATCTTTTTCCTCTTCTTCAAAACCAGGTATATTGAAACACTGTCTACACTCTTGGCTTTCTGCTCTCACTCTCCATACTCATTCATTTTCAGCTCACTGAAACTTCCCCTTTCTTACTCATCACTCTGCTAAACTGCCCTCTCTCTCTCATGAGTTCTCTCTCTCTCTCTCTCTGGTTTCTGACATTCAGTCTTTTATCTTATTTAACCTTTCTTGTGCTGGAGTGGACCTCTAAGACAATGTTGAGTAGGAGTTGGAATAGCAGGCATTCTTACAGTGTTTTTGAATGAAAAGGGAATGCTGCTACTTTTTCATCCAAATGATGTTAACTAGACATTCTTTAACCTCAGCTTAAAGAAGCTCTGTTTTGTTTTTGTTAGTCAAGACTTTAAAAAAATGACTAGCGATTGCATTTTATCAAATAATTTTTCCTGCAACTACTAAGATGGCAGGTTCAATGAATACACAAATTCCATCAAGACAAGGCCTCACCCTCAAGACTGTTATTCCTCAACTAGTCCCTTAGAGAAGACTTTAATAAGTCATTCTGTTAGCCTGGCTGTTGATGGGACATGAAGTACATGTAACACCAGTGTGTCTCATAGTTATTCTTAGACCTCTGTTGCTATAAAATGAGCTCATTGATCCAAGACAATATTGTGTGAAATATTTGTTGATAAATCAGGTATTCTGTAAACACTCTGAATGGGAAAATCGAAATCTCATATTCATGATAGGTATTGATTATAGTAAAGGCAATCTGTGTCCCCTCTCCCCACCACCCTGTGGAGAATTGACTGGTCTCCAGGTTGGGATTATCAGATAAAATATAAGACATACAATTTAAATTTAAATTTCAGATAAATGATGAAGAGGTTTTTAATTTTTTTGTAAAAGTATGTTCAAATATTACATGGGACACCCCTATACTAAAGACATTCATTGTTTATCTGAAACTCAAATTTAACTGAGCATCTTATAGTTTTATTTGCTGTATCTGGCAATCCAAGTCCTGGTAGCTGTCTGGTCTACCACAGGCATGTTGCCAGATCAAGGACTTAGCATATCTTACTATTGTTGACCAGAGGGACATTCAGCAGTGGCAGTAGCTACATCAACCTTGGTGAGGCCCATATTTTTGGGTCCAAGAATAGCCTCCATCCCTTACATCATGGACACTCTGTCTATGAACAACTGTGGTACAGGAGTGGCTGAAGAGTGAAGCTGGATGACATTCATAGAATGAGTCATCCTATCCACTTAGTCTCTGAGAGCATCCTTTAAGGTTAAACATAAAGATTCACATAATTTGCGCTATGCCAATTAGCCTATTGTCATGCCACATATTCAGAATTTTTACTCTTTCATTCTTGTTCCAAGCCCCTAACCTACTAGACGAACTTTTGCCACTGCCCAGGATTTTAGTAGATGTACCTATCTCCAGGCACTTCTCTCTCCCAACAAAGTAAACAGCCAAGTGTATTGTTCAGAGCTTTTTCTAATACAAGGATTTTCCATTACACTATTCCATAGTGCTAGCTCTGAGTGGGGCTGTAATGCAGCAGTGGTTCATTACAGGTAGCTGTAATAAACCTGTACCTCTATTGGAGCAGTATCTCTATTGCATTGACCCATATGTGAACGAGGTTTTGCCATCCATGAGTTGCTCATAGAGAACCCCTTATGAAGCCATACTGTGAGCTTACAAAGAGGGACTGATGTCATGGTAGTAGGGAACACAAAGGTCTGGCCTGCCTATTTATGAAATATATTAGTGTCTTCTGATTCTATCCAGGCCTGATCCTAAATATGGCATTTTTAATCATATAATGCATTACTGTTGCCTTGCCTCATCTCATGACTTGGTGCAACTGATAACACATGGTTCATGATGGGTAGTTCTAATTGCATAGACAGTGAGTGAACCTTAGTGAGACCTTCAGTCACTAGGGTTAAGCCTGCCAGGAAGTGTGGTGGGGTTTTTTTGTTTTTGTTTTTGTTTGAGATGGAGTTTTGCTCTCGTTGCCCAGGCTAGAGTGCAATGGTATGATCTTGGCTCACGGCAACCTCTGCCTCCCAGGTTCAATCGATTCTCCTATCTTAGCCTCCTGAGTAGCTGGGATTACAGGGGCCCACCACTATGCCTGACTAAATTTTGTTATTTTTAGTAGAGATGGGGTTTCACCAGGTTGGCCAGGCTGGACTCAAACTCCTGACCTCAGGTGATCCGCCCACTGCGGCCTCCCAAAGTGCTAGGATTACAGGCGTGAGCCACCGCGCCCAGCCAGAAACTGTGTTTTTAACAAAGGGTAGTTGTTTCCCGCAGAAAGCAGGACCTTACTTCAGAACTCTATGAGTCAGCCCTGCAATTTTCCTATGGGAATCTGCCAAAAATGCCTTTATAGCATCCTTATCCATAGTGGATACATTTAATGCCTTCAAATCTGCTGGGTGATAGAGACTGAGCAGCAGAGCAACAGACTGCCTCAGCTGCAGAGGCCTCTTGTTCTGGACATTACTCAAATCTGGTATCCTGGAAAGTCACTCAAAAATGGGTCAAAGCTGTCATCTCAAGCACACTATATGATGACTCCAATATCCAGTGGCCCAAGAGGCAGATGATATAACAACCTATCCTTTACTTTAAAGGGAATGTCCCAGGGTGCCCATACCATTGGCATTGACATTATCAATGTGTATGTATTGGTTTGCCATTGCTGCATAACACACTGCCACAAACTTAATAGCTTAAAACAACACATTTTTATTTTCTCATAGTTTCTGCAGTTCATGGAGGAAACTAAGCTAAGCCCGGCTTAGCTGGATTCCCTGCTTCAAGGTCTTATCAGGCTGTAACCTACATGCGACTGAAGCTGAGGTCTCATCAAAGGCTTGGTAAAGTCCACTCCCAAGCTTCCTCAGTTTGTTGACAGAATTCCTCTCCATGCAGCTATGTGGCTGAGTTCCCATTTTCTTGCTGGCCATGGGCTAGGGGCCACCCACAGTTCCCAGAAGCTGCTCACAGTTTCCTGCCAAACATGGCCATTTGCTTCTGTAGGGCCAGTAGAAGAATACCTTTCTTAAGAAAGGGCCCAGTCCCTCTTTTATGGGCTTTCACCTGATTAAGCCTGTTTTAACTGGAATAAACTCCCTCTTGACTAACTCAAAGGCAACTTATATGGGACCTTAAATACATCTTCAAAGGCCTCCACCTTTGCCATAAAACAAAATCTAATCGTGGGAGCGAAGTCATTTCCTAGCCCGAGGTTATATGGCAGGTGTACATCAGGGACTGGGAGTCTTGGGGTCCAGTTCAAAATTCTGCTTACCACTGTGTATTCTGCCAATCTAAGCATGATGCCATTCATCTATTTTGAAAATACTCAGCCTTTGTCTCTTGAATTTATGCTTCTCACCCACATCCTCTACTTTTTTCCTCTGGAGTTCTCACTGGATATTCTCGGTGAACTCACCTTCATGTCTCTTATATGTTTAATTTTTTTGTGTTCCTGTGCTTCATTCCGGGTCACATATTTAAGTTTCTATTCCAAACCTGTATCTAGTATTCTCTTTGGCAATAAAGTGACTATAGAATGAAAAAGAGAAGGTCAATGTGACAAATGGCTAAGGAAAAGGCACAGCTACAAAATAAATGTTGATAAAAAGGTAAAAATTTGAGAAGCATATTTTAGAGAAATTAAATTTAAAACTTTATATTGTAAAAGAACATAAAATAAATTAAGAATACTAAATTTTAAAATAGGAAATATCAGTGTGAACTCATGACCTAAAATAAATATATTTTCCAGCTCAGTCACTAAAGCAGCCTATAGCTACATCATCTTCCCACCCACTGTTTTCAGGAGGAACATCAGATGGGTATCGTTAACTTTTTTGTTTTCTAAATACTATTCTCTATTAGATAGAAATAAATTTTCTTGCAGAATAGGAGAGCCCTGGTCTCAGAACAGGAAACAATGCAATATGGGCCCAGAATCTGTTTTTACTGCCGGAAAAGGTGAAAATTTCCCAAGTGTCTGAAGCAGTGGCGAAAGAAAGCCTGTTTAGAGCATGCAACATTTGGCCAGATTGTGACAAAGTAACAGAAAAAAATCAAGTCACTACAGCTAAGTAAAAGAGGTCAAGTAGATAAAAAGTAGAATCTTTAAAAAAAAAAAAAAAAGTCAAAAATAGTGTACAAAAAGGTAAGTTTACAGAAAGGGACATATAATAAAAATAAAGAATGAATAGGATATGTTTAGCACATTTTTATTATGTTTTATTACCAGAGAGTATTATCCTCATAGCTGTTAATTTTTTTTATAATAAGAACTTTTTTTATAATGAAGATAAGCATTTTTTTCTACATGTGTAAGAGGAAAGCGTGGGTACAGAAAACAATTTGCTGAAGGAAGAAGGACCTATTCCCATGCAATGTCCTTATAGAAAGAGAGGCTCAAAGAGGAAGATAATAGATTAGTTAAATATCTCAGAGGAGATGCTGTAGAGATTCAACATCTCATCACCTAGGTGATAAAATTCTGTATGATTTTAATAAAACATTATGAAATATATCGTAAACCAAGGCCAAACATCACGTGACCATGAATATTGGCCAAAGGAAGGAGTGCCCTATTAGAAAATATAATTGTGAAAATCCCATTGATGGAGCAAGTGACCCCATGCTTGAAGAGGAAACCTAATGTGACAAGTCCTGGCTTGGGGTTACAGTGCCGAAAAATTTGAATGACACATAATCTGCAGCCTTTCTGATGTGAAATTATTTTTATTCCCTTTGGTAGGATGAAAAAGATTACTATAATCCCAGGAAAGCACAAAATACAATCCCAGGAAAGCACAAAATACAACTTAAAACACTGACAAAATAAATCAAACTAAAAATACTAAAACTTTTGTACTTGGTACAGAGTAGTACCACTATGGTTTGTAACCACAGTCAAGTGTGTGTGTGTGTGTGTGTGTGTGTGTGTGTGTGTGTGTGTATATATATATATATATATACATGTTGTTTATAAAACCTCAAAAGCATTGAAGAAAATAGACATATTTGAATCGTAAATTCTTTTGAAGTTTGAAAAATTTGGCTGAAACCAATATTTGCATATCTAAGAATGCAAATGTCTACATGCAATTTCAAATGTCTACATTTGGTCATTAGCAGCATTATTTAAATATTTAAATTAGCAGCATTTAAATATTTAAAGGTTTGTGGGCTAAGCAGATTTAAAAGCTTAATATTTTTAACATTAAATGAGAGCAAGTGATAGTGACTACCACATTCAACAAAGGAAAATCACTGGAACATTAAAGATCACAGAAACAAATTTAAAATTTAAAAAATTGTTACTATGATACTATAGTTACTACAATCTGTGATCTCTTAACATTTTAAAAATAATCTACTAATTTCTAAAATTGTAATGTCTCTTTTTTGTTTTCAGAAGTTCTTTTACAAATGTGACAGCCTCCCTTTCATAAGATTCCAGATATTTTATTATGGCATCTATTCCTACTTTTATGTCTTGAATCAGTTTTAACTTATTTTACAGTGTTAGATTGTTTATCAAGTCTTTAGAATGTTTTTGCATCTTCCTCATGGTTTGCATTTCCTCACATGGTCTGTGAGTGCATACATCACCTGCCCTCCCATCCCCCTTGTGAGCTCATCTTCACTGTTGCCTCCGCAGTAGTACTTCCACTCCCCAGGGGATCCCTACGTGCCTTGTGTTATAAAAGTGTCCTTACACTAGGGGTTTGCCTTTGCTTCCCTTGTGTCCCACATTTCATGAGTGTAGGACCAGATTTTACACAAAGGTTTCTATTTTAATTTCTCATACCTTGCAAGGAATGTATGTTTGAATTCTGTGTCTACGTATAATAAAAAGTTGGAGTTATGATTTCTCATAGGAGTTTTTTTTTTCCCCATCTTTTTTTGCTGCTGCCTTCTTGTTCCTTTTTTTCACCAGCTTGAGAAATTTTTTTTTTTCACTGAAGGGGCAGCTTTTCTAGGAGCCATCTCTAGATGAAGGTCTCAGTCAAGCTTTCTGCTTCCCCCAGATTCAAGACCACATCTGCTGTCCCTCTAAGGGTGACAAATCTCTTGAAGTCTCTGAAGAATGAGAAATTTTGTCTGTGGAGTGCAGCTTCAGTTCGTGCCTGAGAGTTTCATTCTGCCCTTTCTGATGTCCTGCCTTATGGATTTCAGACTTGCCAGCGCCTGTAACTACATAAGCAGTATCAGCAGTTCCTTCTTATATGCATATATATGCACGTGCGTGCGTGTGTGTGTGTGTGTGTGTGTGTGTGTGTGTGTGTCCTATTGGCTGTTTCTCAGGTTGATCCCTGACTAATATATGTGACATTTTGTACCGGATTTTATATATGCACAAGTAAACTATCTGCAAATATTGACACTTGTGTTTGCTTACTTCATTATTCAAAATAGGCTGAAAGAGATTTTGAGATCCAAAAGAATCTTAAAGAAGTAGTCCCTTAAAATAAATATCTTTATGTACAAGAAATCCACTATATGCTTTCTGGGAATACGGGCAATCAGCATGAATAGCACTCAGGGACTGGGCTGCAAGAGGACAGGGCTCTATCCCCTCAATTACTGCTGTATTTCCTGCTGTGTCTCAGCTCCCTGGGAAATACTCCTTCTAAGAACTAAAGCGGCACAGTCTCTCAATTACACACAACCTTCTCTTCACTCTTTTCAGCCCCGATTTAGGGAGGAAAGAGGGAACCATTATAAAAATACAAAGAGGACTGAAAACATGTAACAAGGGCCAGGAGTATAAAGCATAAGAGGAGATTGTGACTAAATCTTTATGGCCTAGAAAAAAAAGGAGACTCAGCAGGGAACATAATTACAGTCCATAAATGTCTTCAGGTAACCAGATACATGACACAAGGGACTTGCTTACTGTGAGAGAAAATGCTAAGACAAGACAAAATTGCATAGAGTTTTGGAATGAACTGTTTCAACAACAACAACAAAAAGGTTTTTGAACGTGTGAAATTAGAGAATGTGAGACACATGCTATGTGAGGCACTCACAGAAATGGTGAGACGAGCCGTCAGCTGATTTGGCATATAACAAGCCTCGTCTAAGGAATTCAAACACATTTTGATTGAAGTTACACAATATTACAACAAAACATGCAATGAAAACAAAATAAAAAGCGAAGATCTAGAAAGGACTTCATTTTCAACCATTTACTTAAAATAGATTGTAAGTTTTCACATGTAATGTGGGAAAGGCTGGTTTATAAATTAGCAGTTTTTCTACCCCCAAGAGCTTGTGTCATTCCCAGCAGGGTCCTGCCAGCAAAGCAATAGCAACAGCAGCATCACCCAGAAGCTGATTAGAAATGAGATATCTCAGGCCCCACCGCAAACCTAGTCATTAGAATCTGCATTTTAACAAGATCCCCCGATGATATACATGCAGATCAAGGTTTTGAAAAGCACTAGAAGAAAACAGTAATGCCTTTTATATGCCTTTGTGACCCTGAAACAACTTAAAGATTTAAGGCCATACAGGGAACTGAAACAACTCAACAGCATACAAACCAATAATCTAATTAAAGAAGGGACAAAAGATCTGAACAGACATTTCTCAAAAGAAGACATACGAATGGCCAACAGGTATATGAAAAAAATGCTCAACATCACTAATCATCACGGAAGTGCAAATCAAAACCACAATCAGATATCATCTCACACCAGTTAGAATGGATATTATCAAAAAGACAAACAAGGATGTGAAGAAAGGGGAACGCTTATACACAGTTGGTGGGAATGTAAATTAGTACAATCATTATGGAAAACAATGTGGAGGTCCCTCCAAAGATTAAAAATAGAACTACCATGTGATCCAGCAATCCCACTGCAGGGTAGATAACCAAAAGAAAAAAAATCAGTGTATCAAACAGATATCTGCACTCCCACGTTTATTGGGAGTGCAATAGCCCAGATAGGAAATCAACCTCAGTGTCCATCAACGGATGGATGGACCAAGAAAACGTGGCATATACACACAATGGAGTATTATTCAGCCATAAAAAGGATAAAATCCTGTTATTTGCAGCAACACAGGTGGAACTGGAGAACATTAGGTTAAGTAAAATAAGCCAGGCACAGAAAGTCAAATAACACGTTCTGAAACGGCTGGCGGTAGCTGCACTGAAGAAGTGGAAGTGGCCATGGCGCAGGCGACGCTGCAGCCCAGATGGTACTTCAGCCACTGCTGCTGGGTCCCGATCGTGCCACACTCGGGCCTGCTGGTGAGGCCCCAGCCAGGTTTGTCAGGCAGGCAGGGGAGCCTTTCCTGCAGGCCTGAGGTGAAGCAACGCCCTTAAAGCAAGCTGACTCTTACGGGGAAACTGAGGCTGGGGACAGCGTTGTCCCAAGGTCACTCCACCAAGAGAGAGCCTCAGCATTGAGGGCATGAACCCCAGATGAGGCCTGGTCAGGAAGTGGGGACTGGTCCAGGTAGTGCAGCAGGGTCAAGGCTGGATGATCCCAAATCCGCTGCCTTCCTGGCGCGTGAGCGGCAGAGACCCCAGATCCACCCATGAGTCCAGTGAGCTTGGTGTGGGGATGGAGAAACTGAGGCCCAGAGAGCCAAGTGACTTGCCTGGGGGCACACTGCAGGGAAGGAGCTGGGCCTCAGAGCTTGCCCCAAAGCGAAGTGGGGCCCTGGAGGAGACTGGGTATGGGGGAATCTGAAAATAATGCCAGGGGCTGTTTGCTGAGCACGTGGTTGGAGCTGCGGAACCCTGGCCTCTGCCTTTGGAGGCAGGTCCAGGTGTTACTTCCTTTTTATGGATGGGCAAGCTGAGGAAAGCTTTCCATAAAGCTTTCCATAAAGCTGGAAAGCTCCAGACACTGTTCTGGGGTCCGACAGTGCCTGGGGGCAGGTGTCTGTCACCAGAGCCTGTCTTCTTCCCGCGGGGGAGCCCCAGCCTGGGACCCAGGCGAGTGGGCCCTTCTTCCCGCATAGTGGCAGGGAGAGTCTAGGAAGGAAGCCGCTGATGAGGGTTGGCCGGGTAGACCCCCTCCCTCATCTAGGTGTTTACCGCCAGCACCAACACCCCTCCCCCATACCGGCCTCCAGACGACCCTATGCCTGGGAATTCTGGGCATTGCTCCCCGCTCATTTAGGTCTGTTAGGGGGTGCGTGCTTGTTGCTTAGGGAAGGTGGCCCCATCAGGAGGTTTCTCAGACAGCAGGTCTCGAATGGCTCAGCGAACTGCATCTTTCATCAGTGCTCCCTTTCCCCAGGCTGACATCGGGAAAAAAAGAAAAAGAAAAAAATATATCACATATTCTTACTGATAGAGAGGAGTTTAAAGAAAGTTGGTCTCATGGAGGTAGAGAGAATGGTGGTTTCAGTGTCTGGGAAAGGTGGGAAGAGGGCAGGTGAAGAGAATCTGGTTCATGGGTATGAAAATAA
This sequence comes from Homo sapiens, assembly GCF_000001405.40. Taxonomy (NCBI): domain Eukaryota; kingdom Metazoa; phylum Chordata; class Mammalia; order Primates; family Hominidae; genus Homo; species Homo sapiens. Next base: position 117,093,408 of record NC_000005.10, on the reverse strand, counting down.
CAGTTCGATTGAAGAAATAACTTCTAGTTTTCCATAGCACAGTAGGGCGACTATAGTTAACAATAACTTATTGTACATTTTTAAATAGCTAGAAGAGAAGATTTGGAATGTTCTCAACCCAAAGAAATGATCAAGGTTTGAGGTGATGGATATCCTAATAACCTGTTGATTTTTTTCCCTTTGTATGTATGTATCAGAATATCACATATACCCTGGAAATTTCTATAATCATAATGCATCGATTTTTTAAAAAAAGGAAATTTCTTTAGTGGAGAACCTTATCATCTAATTACTTCTTTGTCAAAATGATATATTGACTTATTAATTATGAAATGGCCCCAATCAATGATGATATTAATATCAATGTTTGTTACTATAATTTAAATATCATTATTCTGTGTAGTATCAGTAAAGTCTGTCATTGGTTGAATTTGTGTTTTATATTGATATTGTTCTGATTTTTAATTTTAAAAATTTTTAAATTAATTTATTAAAATCTTAAATTAGTTTAAAAATTTTATACTCTGCCAGTGGACACATATAGTAACAGTTGTAAAAAGAGTAATCTGGCTAGGAGAAATGCTACCCTTTAAATTGGAGTATGGGCCGGGCGCGGTGGCTCACGCCTGTAATCCCAGCACTTTGGGAGGCCGAGGCGGGTGGATCATGAGGTCAGGAGATCGAGACCATCCTGGCTCACAAGGTGAAACCCCGTCTCTACTAAAAATACAAAAAATTAGCCGGGCGCGGTGGCGGGCGCCTGTAGTCCCAGCTACTCGGGAGGCTGAGGCAGGAGAATGGCGTGAACCCGGGAAGCGGAGCTTGCAGTGAGCCGAGATTGCGCCACTGCAGTCCGCAGTCCGGCCTGGGCGACAGAGCGAGACTCCGTCTCAAAAAAAAAAAAAAAAAAAATTGGAGTATGTCACCGAATGGTTTGCCTTTGCATGGCCTAATGAAAGTTAGCAAAAGAGAACTTGGCCACATGTGTGGCCCTGTGGGAAGAGGTAGGATGATTTTATGAAAAGCCCCCTGGGCTGAGAGCCACAACTCCTAAATCATTAGTTATCAGTCATGTATACTTGTTTGATCAGTTCATTTTGTGAGCCTCGGTTTACTTATTGTAATAGAGAAATAATATTTACCCTTCAGAATGAGAAGCTAATGATATGATGCACATGGAAGGGTTTTGTGAATTATTAAAGCCATGAAAGGATAGGGAGTTCCTTGGCATCTCAGTAGAAGACTAGCAATATATGATCACCTGTAATCCGTTAAACTCTGATTCTGGCAGTCGTTGGCTTTATTGCAGAACACTTTTGTCCCTAATTTCTTAGAGATTAAAAAGACTTCTTGGCTAGGTGTGGTGGCTCACGCCTGTAATCCCAGCACTTTGGGAGGCAGAGGCGGGTGGATCACGAAGTCAAGAGATCAGGACCATCCTGGCCAACATGATGAAACCCTGTCTCTACTAAAAATACAAAAATTAGCCTGGCATGGTGGCATACCACCTGTAGTCCTAGCTACTCAGAAGGCTGAGGCAAGAAAATCGGTTGAACCCGGGAGTCAGAGTTTGCAGTGAGCCAAGATCGCGCGCCACTGCATTCCAGCCTGGCAACAGAGCAAGACTCCGTCTCAAAAAAAAAAAAAAAAGACTTCTTATTAAATTCTATTTTAGGAATCTAACGAAACTTTAGCTCTTAAGAAGCCTGGTTCCTTGCCAGAAGTTTAAGGCAGGAAGAGTAGGATGTGAAGATTTGGCACCAGTGGCTGGCTTTCCCTTTGCCAAAAGAAAGAGGACCCTCTGCCCTTCAGATAGTTGTTGAGGTCCAGGTGCTTGTTTCTATCAAGCACATGTTCCCAGAAGACGGAGAACTAGGGCCACTAATGTTATAAATATATCTGAATTCTTAAACCAAGGTTGAAACCTAGCATTTCATACATATCTTATTTGTGCCACAACAGCATCTTAAAATATTATTACCAACATTTAATAACTGAGATTCATGTAAAAAGCTAATTTTTCATGTCCTGAAAAATCGAAAGATCTGGCAACCTTAAATCCAGCTGCAAATGGACAATACTCCACTATAACCAAACATGGATATCCAGGCCCCCGAGTACCATAATACCCATTCTCAGGCACCATTCCTTTATTTGCCTAATAGCCATTTGACTTAACAAGCTCTGACCCCTCTTTTAAAGGACTTCTCAGATTGCCTTAAGTTGATCCTCAGTGATGGTGAAGTATCTGTAGCAAGGTCAAGTTGTCCACCTCTAAGGCTGGCCCAGTCTGCCTGCCTGGCTCATTGAAATTCATGTGCTCCAGGACTTGATGTCAAGAGACCAAGCCCCTCAGCATCAAAGAACGGCTGCTCAAGTATGAAGGGCCCCTTAGCTATGCTTGGACCTTAATTCAACTCACAAGGACTAATGTAAGATTCTTCTATTGCCTGAATATATGTGGATGGCCTCAGGAATATTTACTAATATTTACTAAAAATATTCCTCTTTCTTTCATGTTTTTTTCCTTTTTCTGAAGCCTTTCTTTGTCCAGGCCAACTAATAGTTCTCTGATGCTGCTCCTTCCCCCTGGCTCAGAACTAAAGTCATAAAGAATGAAACTGGAAGAAGGTATATCTGAGGAAACGGAGGTGACTCAGCCAAGAAAATGGGGCCGCTGGAGAAGTGCTGCCCTGCTACAGAAAGTGGTATTCCCATAGCATCATATCTCTGATAGGACACTTGCAATCGTATTCATTGATATTACCTTTTAGCGGCCATCTTTAGAACTAGCATCAAATTCAAAATGACTTCTGATTTGATTATTCATATACTTTGATTTCTTCTCCTCTACCCCATAAAATAAAAGATCAGATAGCCATCTTTTAGTTGGCAAACAACAATTTTTATGATAAAAATAAAATTGACCACAAAGAGAGAATAGACAAGTATGAAGTTAACCACACAGATCCAGTGAAAAAGTTACCTGAAATGGGGTATTCACACACTTTCCCCAAAATTTAATAAATGCCGTTGGAGTCAAGATGTGTGGGGATTTATTCTTGATTTAATTAATTAAAGTCTATAAGCGGTTATCAGAGTTGACAATAACAACTCAGATTTGTTCCAGTTGCTAAAGTGCTGATAGGAGCACATGGCTTTATTTGACTCTTTGGGCCCAGACAGAAGGGCTTATGGGAAAGAATTCTGGGTTAGCCACTGGTTCTGTGGATATGTGCCAGAGTTGATGGAATGTGACGGGGGAAGTATGATCTGTGCCAACTACTATAACATTGATTGTCTTATTACTGTTAGCAAGAATCTAAATAAATAGACTTTATATGCTCTTAATGAAAGGAAAATTATCTATAGCCTGCAGTGTTCCAAGTGTGCCCCAGTCCACACACTTTTATTGTGCCAAGCTCTGAACTAGGTACTAAACCCTATTTTCTAAGACATGGCAATATACTTAGAGAAGGCAGGGAAATTCAGTATTCTCTTGGGCCTATAGCCCTTCCCACTATCATCTTTAATCCATGAAATCAGTAATTGTTGTACCCCCAAAATATGCACAGTGTCTGAGACATGGCAAATTCTTGATAAATATATGTTGCTTGAATGAATGGATGGATTAGTATGAAACTACATGTTAATAAAATACTGATGAGGGTGATTTTTACATATTAGTAAATGCTGAAACTCAAAGTGATCAATGATGTAATTGGCAGGCCCTCAAGTCTCACACTGAGTGGCCTGGACCACACTCCCCGACTCAGGACCTATGTAAAATCATCCATTCTCTTTCCTTTTATTCATTCACTTAGCTTGTCAGTCATCCTCATCCCCTGATGATCTTTGGAATTCAAAGAAGGAAAATTACATTCTGTTCTTAAAAAGATGGGTCCGTAGAGTAGAATAACCATGAGTTTAATATTCAAAATTTCTGAAAATCTATAACAGGCAATATTAATTAGGTTATTTTTCAGTGAAATATGCCAGAAGTTTCCTTCATGCTGTTTTTAATTTCATATTCACCTAGGTGCAGTATTAAAGAGAAAATCTCAAAAATGAATTTTGATATATGTAAATAGGTCACTCTTCACCTGATCTGCTCTCCTCCTTCCAAGAAAGGCATCCTACCTTCTTCCTGCACTGGTATCTGGGAGATGGCCAAACTCTGAATAGACAGTTGCACAGGATCATTTCCCAAATGCAGTTTTGTGCAGAAACAAAATCCCGGTGAAACCATTCAGGTGAGAAGCACAGTGGCACACAGGCATGAGGATCCTCACTCTGGCCATCAGAGCCAAGCTCCTGCCCAGATGAATGAATCCACCCCCTCCCAAATGACTGCCCTAATGTTTAAAATAAAGCCCAGTGCACCACGGAGATTCAGGACATTTGTGTTGCTGAGGCTACATGGTTAACCTCAACTCCTTCAATGCCTTTTTCCAACATATTTTTAAAATTTGTGCTGTTTAAAATATAGTTTTCTCCTCATTATATTTTCTTCTTAATCCTTTATACTAAATTCACAAAATACATTTAACTTATGTATAACATTTACGCAGAAATAGGCTTTTTGCCTCTTCCTCAAAGTAAATATCTGTTAATTACTCTGGTGCTGGAGTTACAAAAACTTAGATTGTATGAGGATTGTACCAGTTTAATAAAACAGGATAGAAAAACAGCCAACATGGTGGCACCATTACACTGATTGTTTTCTGTAGATATACAGAATACATGAATAATAATGTTTCTTTTCATAACTCTTGCTGACTTGAAGGCATGATCGAATAGTATATTTCTGATTAACCCAGGGCCCAGTCCACATAGGCACATGTGCAGAGTTCTGATAAGGTGAAGAAAGATGTGTTTCCATGTCAACAATTTAAAGGTTGTAACTATTTTGAGTTGTTAATATAAACTTTGATATTAGCTCATTGACTTTGATGGTTTGCAAAGAATAAATTCTAACACAATTACAATGACTGCTGAAATGTATTAAATCTCTAGAGAAGCTGGAAAAATGTGTACGCATGACAGGTTTGTCAATCATCTCTTGCTCTGATTAGGTGACATTAGCAAGTGATTTTTGTTAACTAGAAAAAGTGACAGTATAGTATTTTATAATGGCCCCTGACTAAAACATTGTATCAATTTTTATTGGTTCCTCCTATGTCTCTATGTAGCGATGAAGAAAAGGCCCAGTGGCTATATCTTGAGGCATCATATTATCTGATAGGCTTATTAGTACTCAGAAAATTTCAATATTATTATCATAACTACAGGCAGTAATATCCTTAGCAATAATTGAGAGCCATGATGATTCCAGTCCCTGGGTGTTACACCAATCAGCTCTTCTATTTTCTTTCTCTGGGACTCTCTTGTTCAGAGACAAAATGACAATTATTTCATGTCAGGGCTCTTGTAATCTCACTAGAAAGAACCAAAAACCAAAAAAAAATTTGTCAATTATCATCACAAACCCACTGTCATTCTCAGGGATTTATACAGCTTAAGGCATGGTAGGTGGAAAGAAAGGCTAAAAGAGAAGAGATCCAGGATCCAGGGCAAGACTAAAAGCAGAGGAAGAGTTGAGTCAGTCAGGGTTTATCTGGGTAGGGAATTGTGGGACAGGTAGTGTGAGGGAAGGCACAAACAATGCTGGAAAAATTTAACTTCTAGACTTTTAAAATCCTAATTAGTTCCAACATTCTAATTTCAGTCTTTCCAAAAATATAGAGGAATTGAGAACAATGATTAATTACACTGATTAATGTCTGATATTGACAAGGGATGTCCATAAAAATGAGTCTCTTTGATCTCTCACTGGGTGGCCCCAGGTGCTGCCCGCTGGAACTCTTGCCTCTGTACAGAGGCTGCACTCCCCATGGCCGCTACCAGCCAATGAATAAGCTAGGCAGGGAGACTCAGGTAGGCCTGTTCCAGGAGTATATGGACTCTTCTGATGAGCAACCTTGGCTCTAGTACCCAAGACAGCCTTGACAGACTTTCTTACTGCATAGTGGTCTAAGACACTTCCACCTAACCTCTCCTTCTTCCCTCTCTCCTTCATCTGAGGTCAGACCTATATTTTGGTTGGATGGCTCCCCAGCCTCTCCCAGAAACCTTTTCCCTTAAAAAGTTTCTCACACATTTAATTCCATCTTGGTATCTACATTTTTGAGAACCCAGATTCATTTCTCCTTCAGGAATATTTGTACTCCAAGTGAAGATTTTAGGAAAAGGAATTTATATTTATTGAGCAACTACTATGTGCCAGGTACTTTACAAGTATTATCTAATTTAATTCACACATTAACTCTCTTAGATAGTATCATCCTACATTTAGTAGTTGAAGAAATGACACTCAAAGAGTTTAGAAATTAAATTGAAGCGTATGAAATTGCTATTTTTGTAAGTCAAAAAAGATCAAAATGTTGGGAGTTTTATGTGGTTTGATCTATATAATTTGCCAAGGTCACACAAATACTAAGTGAACAAACTAAAACTTGAACCATTTCCATCTGCTTTCAAAACACATGTTCTTTTCACTCTACTGCAATGTTTCAGAGTACACTTGGTGAAGAGAGAATATATGCATAAATCTCACCAGTGAGTTTATTCAATGTCATGTTTGACAAAATATATATTAAAAGTACCTCAGAACATCAAATATGCTAGGGACAGAATAATAATTTTCAAGAACATTCTAATTCTCAGTCTTTCCTCAATAAGCCTGATAATGAGCATTTTAGAACAACATGAATAATGTATACATGCATATATGCATAAAAGAAGCCTTGGAAGCCACTGGTGGTAGTATGTGGGTAATTTCCGTTATTGTTTTTGTTCTTCTATATTTTATGTTTCCCACAATGAGTGTGTATAACTTGTATAATAAAAAAGTTATTAAAATAAAACATAAAGCTGTATTGCTAGTGAATCGTTCTCCAAACACATCTATGATCCCAGTGCCGTTAGTCATACCCTCTAGGCAGCAAATAGATTAGACAATAGAGAAGAAAAAATATCCCTGGCAAGTTCTTCCTGCTCTGTCTCCAACTCATTCTAGTCATGGGCCTTCCTAGCTGCACCCTGTGTTTGTTTTGAAGACCTTGTCCTCTGCCTGGCAGCGACAGGGTGTTTCAGTGAGAATAGGTCAGGAGGATGCCTGCTACCCAGTCATGTTAAGCTCTGAAGGGTTTCAAACAGCTCCCTTGGGAGCACAGAAAACATAAGCTTAGAAAAATTATTATGGGTTCTTATATGAACTCCTAACTTTGCACTGCAACTAATCGAATTGATTTATTACCCATAGACAAATTTAAAAGAAAAAATTCAAGCTTCACTAACAGCTGTTTATTAACATGAGGTTAAAAAACAGACATTTCTGTGATGGCATCTAAGCAATAGAGGCACACAGGGTAAATATTGGCCAAAGTAATTGTGATGGTTAATACTGAGTGTGAACTTGATATTGATATTGATCCTGGGTGTGTCTGTGAGGGTGTTGCCAAAGGAGATTAACATTTGAGTCAGTGGGCTGGGGAAGGCAGACCCACCCTTAATTGGGTGGGCACCATCTAATCAGCTGTCAGTGAATATAAAGCAGGCAGAAAAACATGAAGGGGAGAGACGGGCCTAGCCTCCCAGCCTACATCGTTCTCCCGTGTTGCATGCTCCCTGCCCTCAAACATCGGACTCCAAGTTCTTCAGTTTTGGGACTCAGACTGGCTCCTTGCTCTTCCACTTGCAGATGGCCTATTGTGGGACCTTGTGATCGTGTAAGCTAATACTTAATAAACCCATATATATCTTAGTTACTATGGAAAATGGTAATGATAGGTAGAAGTAGCAAAATATCTGCTAGTTTCAGTGATACCTTCTACCATGCTAATGGCAAACAATTTGTCATCCGATTACTCTCATTATTGCTTGAGGAAAGCATTCCATTTCTCGAGACCAAGTTGGGCCGATCCCTTAAGGCCAGGAGCTTGAGACCAGCTTGGTCAATGGAGTAAGACCCCATCTCTGAAAAAAAAATTATATATATATATATATAGTATGTGTGTGTGTCTGTATGTATATATATTACATTCTTGTTTTTTAATATTTGATGGCTTTCAAAAATCATTAATCAAATAGTGTGTTCCCTATTTTCTATCCTAATACAGCATCAAGTATGGCTCTATTTTGAGTAATTTATAAACATTATTTCATGTAGTACTCCTAACAACCCTATAAAGTATGAACTATTCCCGTCTCATTTTCCAGATAGAGAAACTGAGTCATAGAAAAGTTATATGATATCCTCAGACTCACAAAGCTCGTAACTGTTATTATCAGGATTTAGCCCCAAACTATATGACTCCAGAGCCCATTAATATGTGTGCTTAGTAATCAACGCTGTACCCAAAGTTTCCTTTGGCTCTGCCTTGCTTCTCATTCTCTCTAGGGTAAATATACAAACAGATGGCAATAACAACCATGCTAAAGAATGCAAACAGATACCATAATATTTGTGAAAATTTCCCCTAAACTTTGGTTTCTATAGAAGAAAAAAACATGAGTTTTGATTATTAGCCTAATTATTCAGGAGATGCCTGTGCAATTTATGGTTTATCCAGATGCTATGCATTACGCTTAATTTCTTTCTGGAAATGTTTATCTCTTCTTACAGTACTTATCTCTAAAATTGTGCTTAAAAGTAAGATGTGGCTCACATAGACCAATGGCTTTTTTTTTTTTTTAATCTGAGCACAAAGAAGAAATAAACAGCAACCCATTGTAGAGACACATCATTGAAAGCAAAGTGTAGAACCTAGTTTGATATTATTAAGATAGAGCTAACTGCTCTAACAAGTAAACTTTGGCTTAGCACAAAAGAAATACATGTCTTGTTCAGAAAGAATCAATTATCAGAAAAAAGAGGGTAGGATAGAAAAGAGTAAAAGGCTTGCTTCACACAATTGTCTAGGGACCCAAAAATAAGCTTGGCCATCCTCAACATTGGGCTTTCAAAGCTATCCATGATAATGACATCCAGTTAACAGATGATGGAAGGAATACAGACACATCTGCTTCTTAACCTCTTTGTCTGTCAGTTGTCTGACATCATTTCCACTAGCATTCCACTGGTGAGACCAGGCTGACTGGCTCCACCTTGCTAAGAGAGAGGGGAAATGTCTCTTGCTGTGCAGTCACTCTGGGAGTCACTCCATGGTGAGACAAAGCAGCAGGTATCTGTGATTTACAACCAGCCTCCTCTACCACACCACATAACCAAATCTCTATGCTTGCACTGGTCTTTATTTCTTCCTCTGTAATTTGTGGATATTGAACCAAATGATCTCTATAGTCTCCCTTAGGTCATGAAAGTCTTATGACTCCCAAGTTTTCAGGTATATATAATATATACTGTCTAACATAAAGTATAATTTTGGTGTTTCAGGATTTAACTTCAATTTCTCTGCATTTTTAAGAATTAAATGTGGACTATTTCATACTCTCTATTCTTTGGATCTCTAATATCTCTTTATTGTCACTAAAATCGACTGATTGAGTAATGATTGTACATGACATTCAATTGCTGGGTAAGAGTACTATACTGAGGGCATTACCATGTAGAGGGCTCTATCCTAAGAGCAGTATGTCCATTGATTGCGTGTCACACTGTAATTTTAAGAAAAGTGAGTGGATGCTAGTTGAAACATCAATAACAATATTCAGTATCACTATAATAGCTAAGACATATCTGGTGCTTTATAGTTAACATGTTTAATCTTCATAATAATCTAGTGAGGGAACTGTTCCAGGCTGCATTTACAGGTGATGAAAAGGAGGCTATGGGAGGAAAAGTAGCTTTAGCCAGTGAGGATCAGACTGGCTCAAAAACCCAGGACTCCTGCCTCTAAATGTCATTTTCCAGTAAACCAAGGTGTCTCACATTGCACAGGACCACCAGGTTTCATAAGCTCCTTTTCCATTTTATCTCCTCTGACCCAATGAGCCTTTCCCTGATGCCTGTTTGCTGCATGCTTTGCAGCTGCCTCCTCAATATATGGTTAATTTTCCATCATTTTCTGTGAGCAGATGTTCCTGAGGAGCACAGCCACTTTCCAATCCCTGGCACTATCTCCTGCAGATGACTGGATTAAACACAGTAGCCGCTGGCCATCCTTTTGATCTGAAAAGAAAAGACTTTCCCACTGGGATATTCCTCATGATGATGTAATTAGTTTCCTGGACATACCTAACAAATTTATTTTTAATCACAAGGGATGAGGGGAGAGAAGGAAGAACCATTCATCTTGGATTGTGTGCAACTGCTGCAGTTAATATGCACCATTTCCATCCCCCTTGTGCAATGTATTCTTCAGCTATTGTTCAAAGATTTAGGGGCAATAGGCTACTCTTCAAAAGCAGTGGGGGAACTTCACTTTCATAAAGGGGTCTCAGGCACTATTAAATTGCTTTTTCAAACCTGGCAAAGACATTAGAGCTGGAAATCCTTTCAGCTCCAAACTGTCCCCAGCATTAAGAACAGGTGAAGCTCTTAATAACGTTTTGGAGATTGTGTTTGATTGAAAAACACAACATGGAACATTCTGTACAAACAAATTCAGCTGTTCAAAATTTCCAATCCTGTGGGTATCACAGTAGTATCATATTTTTGCCCAGGATCATGTCTTGAGGTATTATTAGGGATACTGTTTCCTAAATTTGTGCGTCACACATGAATAAAATTTAACTAACATAATTCATACTTTTAATAATGAATCACAGGTATAATCTGAGGCCTACCATTTACTACGAATGCAAAGGCTAGATAATTCTTAGGGCAGACAAAGAATGAACATCAGGGATAATTATGATATTATGTTCTGTGTATTGCCAGAAAGAAGAGAAACTGGAAGTGGAAGGGGGAGAAAGTTCTTAAAGACAGCCTGTCCATGAACCAGTCAACCATTCATTTGAGACCCCAAAAGCACATACCACCATCTCCTTTCAAAGGCATGCTTAAAACAAACATTTCATAAGCATAGAAGCAAAAAAAAAAAAAAAAAACAAACCAAAAAAACTATAGGTCATTTTTTTCATGAACGAAAGCAATGAGAGAATATGGCCTGTAGCCAATTTCCACATTTCTTTGAATGTAACATCTAACCTACTATCAGAAATAAGAACACATGGGGTACGAAGGTCAGTTCAAGAGAGGTGAAGAAGTTGGAGAAAAGTTTAAAAGAAATCAACCAAGGAAGAAATATTTGAAGTTATTTTAAATTGCTATTTCAGTAAGTAATAGCCACAGTCTGGATTTTGTTCTTGAAACTTTGAATTGGTCTTCTTGTTGAGTTAATTTTTTTTTAAAAAGGAACAGATAGTATAATCAGTTACATGGATGGCTGAGCACCTGTGTGACAATAGGATCAGAAATAGGATCAGAAAAAAAAAAAATTCATAAAACTAAATTCTAAATTTTGCAGACTACATATTCCTCCCCCATCCTAGAAACCCACTAACTGACAAGCAGGAATTAATTTACATGTCTGATTTTCTCCTCCTAAATGACCACCATGAGTTCTGAGACATGCAATAACATGACTGCTACTGCCTTAAAAAAAGTATATAAGCACATACAGCTTTTCTTGTTACATTTTTAGAGTCTCAAAATAGGCATTCTTAGATTCCTTATTTTATAATGGAGCTATACATGAAATTAAACAGATAACATACATAAAATCACACAGTGGTTTGTCTGAAACATAGTAGAAGCTCAATACATATTGGCTTTCTCACATTTTTCTCTCTTTGTCATTATGTGCATTCATATGCACCCCTAAGTAGCCCAGGACAATTATCGGGCTAATATGGCAAGATACCAATAAAAATCAAAACTGGAAGTGCTCCCCAAGGCAATGCTAAAGATGTTGGGGCACTGGCCACATTGGCTGATGGTCCCCAACTTGTCTTTCCCCTCCCTGCTACTACTTTTTCACCGTATCTCTAGAAATCCCTCACATTGTATGTTTTTTTGGCCCTCTAAGAATCTGTCATCCCTCAATGGGATATTTTCTGTATCACAGTATTTACGATGCCTATTTTTAGCATGGTTTAATAATTACTTATAAATGAAAAATATTAGGGTGATAGACAATATATTAACTCTATTAACAAAAATTGTCTATGTGTTAGGAGGCCCTAGGAATCCATTGTCTGATCAGAAGACATCATTTTCCTGCCAGTCAGGTGACTTAAACAGGACTCTGGGGACTTTGATGAGAAGACCATTGTATTAGAACTCCAGGGCTGGGATTTGGAGGTCAGTGTGCTTGCATTCTGCTTAAATCATAATCTTGCTTCCAAAATAACAAGTTTAGCCCCTGAAATATCACTACCATGATTGCCCAGTCAATTTTCTTCCTGACATTCAAAGAATAAATTGAATGAAAATGCGTGAGACCATTGCTACAGAGTTTTTGCTGGAAAACATATATTTTCTGTTTGAATTGTCATAAAATTGTCTAAAAACATTGGCATGTGTCCAACTTTGTGAATGTATTTGGATTAAAGAAAGGAGGAAATGATAACAAAGGAATGGAAGTAAATTAAAATTGAGTTAACGTGTACTTTTTCAGACATTTCTCTGGATGGCATTTGCAATTAAATGCAGACTTTTTCCTCTTCCTCAGGAATGGGTAATTTAAAAATAAATTATCCGTGCAAATATGCAAGGCTATACCTATGAAAAATAAAATAAGTTATCAAGCAGTATCTGAATAATTTGATCCGGATAAAGCTCCAACAACCTCCTACTTCCTTTCAAAATTAGAGTGGGGGTCTGAAATATGTGGCTGTATCCTGGAGTTCTCTACATTACACACAGACCTTAGCAGAACCCTCGATGTGAAGTTAATGAACGAGTTATGAAGGCTATCAAAACACTAGAGTCTGAAGGAAATATTCAGTCAATCACAAAAGCATTTCAGCTCTATATAGACAAGCAGAGGTATCCTTTTTAAATAGCAATTATTTTAACACAAAGGTAAGCCCTGCCTTATCTTGTCACTGTCTACGTTTGTGTGAGATGGCTTTTGTATGAAAATGGAGAACACTCAAAGTCCCCTGAGCCTTTGATGACTTAGAAGAAATTCCTAGTATCTCCACCTCAAATTCTACAATGCATTTCTCTGCAGTAAATTATCTCTACAATGAATTCCTTGTTAAATAAATCCCATTTGAACTGATGCCTGGTAGCTGAGATGTAGAGTAACAGTCTAACATTCATTATAGGAGATAAATATAGTTTTCCTTCTAAATACCATGCATTGGAGCCTGCTGTGACCAGGTACCTGTGACTTGCCACTGTGGAGAAGAGAGAAATTCAGATCTTAAAGAAAAATGAAATAAAAATAGAAAAGTATTCTCCACAGCTTATATATCTTTGGCATGATTGTAGTGGACAGATGAGTGGTAGAAGCAGAAGCTAACATCCCAGACCCTGCTAAAGACACACAGAGGACAATTGGGATCCAACTGTTCTTGTGTGCTACCTAGATTGCCTCAGGAGTTATTTCTACCTTCATAAACAGTTTCATTATATTCAGCTTCCACTCTTAATTAAATGCAAAATAGCCAAAAAGTACATGAGAACTATCACCTTTTTAGTTATGCCTGTCATAACACAACTGATTAAAAACAAATCCTGCACTGACCTAGTTTAGAATTTCCTTACTCATCACCTGACCTAGCTGTGAAATACCCTCTAAGCTTCTAGTTTTTCTCTTTAATTCATTCTTAGACCACTACTAAAGAATCTTACCCAGCTTATACCACTGTGGCTTATTACTTGGGTTGGTAGAAAGGAAAAAAGGTCCAGAAGCTAAGGTAGTCAGTAGA